>NC_000023.11:87614057-87917087 GCF_000001405.40 Homo sapiens
TGTATACAGAATGGTTTTGAGTAGGGCAATTATAAATAAGAGATAATGAGTACATGGATTATAAACTGGAATATTGTAAAAATATTTATTTTCCTATATTGAAAAAGTCTTCGCCTATATGATCTGTTTCTCTGTGTATTATTTAGAAGATCCAAACTTGGAAAAGACTGATGATGGAAAGTACAGCACAAACACACCCTCTAAAAAAGATCAGTTTATGTATTTGACCTTTCTAACTTCACTACATTTAACTGAATTATAAAGATTTTATGGAGAAAACAGACTCACTAGTGTTACAAACTTGCTGAATCCATTTCATGCTTTTCAGTGAAATTATTGACTCATTTAAATTCCTACAAATATTTCCTATTTCCAGGTTGGTTCTCAGCGCAGTGTCTGATTATTTTGCTGCAATGTTTACTAATGATGTGCTTGAAGCCAAACAAGAAGAGGTCAGGATGGAAGGAGTAGATCCAAATGCACTAAATTCCTTGGTGCAGTATGCTTACACAGGTAAGTGCCAAATACACATTAACTCATAATGACCCTACATTACATAACACATTATTATTAGTAGTAGTAGTAGTTATTATTGCTACTAATACTACTACTATTCTTCATAGTAGTAATACTGCTACTACAACTACAAAGGTGAGGAAACTAAAGAATAGATCAGTTAAATAAATTTCCTAAAGTAATAAAAAGGCATAGTTAGGATATAAACTCGATAATATAAAAGAAGAAGAGGTATATAATATGTAGAAAATACCTTAACCATGAGAGCAGACAACTATTTAACACAAACATACAGGAACAATTCTGGAATGGTGTGGGCACATTCTTGTTTGTAAAAAGTAGAGTTGGGAATGGGATCTTCCAATCCTACAGTAGAGATTTAGTCATTCTGTTCATTCAGAATAATTTTCATATCTATTCAAACTGCAAATAAAGGTAACAATGAATTTGGGGACTAAAAAGTATTTTGACTTTTATTCCAGAATGATTAATTCATCCTCAGGGTCTCTTAGTATTAAAATATTTTTATTTGATTATGTATACTTAGGCTCTTCTTAAGACTAAAAGCTTACCTCCTGGCTTTCTCCAACAGAGTCATTTTCAAACATTTTTGCTTGCACTGTCTGTAAAATAATTTTGAAAAGCGATATGCTCTCCTTACATTTTTCCATTAATGACTAAAATATGTTGTAATTTTAAATATTTGTAAAGTATATAATCCCCAAAATATTGTAAATATTAATCTTTTTATAAAGCACTATTAAGTTTGCATTTTAAATGTATCTAACAAATCTCAATCCCATGAGAATTTGGTACCAACAACAATTCATTTAAAAATATATCTGTATGACAGTCCCTCAAAAGTTAAACAAAATAGTTACCTTATAACTTAGCAATTCCATTCATAGTTATATACCCAAGAGTTAAAAACATGTCCACACAACAGTGTGTACACAAATGTTCACATAAGCATCATTCATAACTAAAGAGTAGAAACAACCCAAATGTTTACAAACTGAGGAATGGGTAAATCAAATACGGTATATGAACACAATGTAATATTAATAGGCAATAAAAAAGGAATGAAGTAGTAATAGATACTACAACATGGATGAAGTGTGAAAATATGCCAGATAAAAGAAGCCTGTCACAAAAGATCGCTTATTTTATTATACCATTTACATTAAATGTACAAAATAAAAAAAATTGTAGAGGCAGAAGATATATTATTGGTTGTAGGAATATGGAGGGAATTGGGAATGAATGTTAATAGGTATGGAGTTCCTTTTGGGAGTGGTGAAAATGTTCTGGAATTAGATAGTGATACAGGTTGCAAGCTTTTTTGAATATACTAAAAAACACCAGATTGTACATTTTGAAAGTGTGAATATGATATGATTTAGATCCTAACAAAAATATGTATGAATAAACTTTTATTTCAAAGTTGTTCCTATGCCACAACCCCATAATGTAGCATAGTATACTTTGGGATAGGTGAGCAATGTGACTTCCTTTTATGAGGTGAGAAAAAAGAAAATTATGGAAAGGACACTGGGAAAGTAAAACCTGTGTGGTAACAACTGTTTTGGGAGCAGACCATTTTTTAGGAGGGATATGTATGGAATTTGAGGTACTGAAATTTCTTTACATGAAATTGATCTGCGTCTCAGATGGGTTTTATGTAACTCTAGCGGTATGCATGCTATTTGAAGACCACGGTTCTAACAAAACTACTTTGAAATTTTACAGTGTTTCATTCCTTCCTTCAACTTTCACCTTTCTCCTGACAAGCCTTTAAGCAAAAATATTCCCTAAATTTTCATTATGCTCTAAAATTTCAATAAGCTTTTTAAAATCAGGAGTGAAATGGAAAGAACTTTATTTCTTCCACCTGATACATTTTAATCTTTAGAAAACATCTTTTTGTTTCCAGTAAGCATTCGTAGGATAAGATAATTCAGCCAGCTGGCTTGACTATCCTTTTACTCTTTAATGAAGTGAAACTTGAAGCAGCTCCAAACAGCCTTTCTTAAGCATGCTTGTAACTGAATACTGTACACTGTAATATACAATGCTTTCCTACTGTATCGAAGACATTTATAACTATTCCTCTGAATGAATATTCTTCCTAATAACCAGACCAAATTTAAATGTCTATAGCAGATGAATATTTATATCTGAATTGGAGAATAGATCATACTTCTCTAGGTCTCATGAGATATGGGCAGGGCTCTCCCTTCAAAATCAAAACAAGAACAATACAAGAGAGTCTGCTGATGGGCTGGACCCCTTTACAATATATTTTACAGGTTGAACTATGTATAGAGGACCTCACAATATGTATTACCCTTTTCCTTATGGTTATGCAACTATATGAGCCCCATATTAAGGTATTTTAGAAGGGAAAACTTTAGGGGAATAGTTTGTAATTGATATCAGCCATTTGAAACATTCTTTATAACTTGGCTAAAACAATAAAAAGTAGGAATGTCTCATAAAATCGCAGAATTTTTGCAATAACTATTCAATAACACTTGTTCTAAAAATAATACAGACATATAAATATAAACGGACTAACTCAAATTGCTTCTGATTCTGTTTTGTAAAATTCATTACAGATATTTTCAAAAAGAGACTGTTTTTTTTTTTATAACAAAGCAAATAAGTAATTATTCATTTGTGGACTCTTGGCAACATTTTCTTCCTCTTGAGACAGTGCCAGGGGTCAATTCTAGAGATAATATTTTGGGCAAATACATCTTTACCAGCTAATGTAGATACAAAAAAAAAAGGCATAAAAGTTCAGTGTTCTTCTTACAAAATAAACGGACAATTAAGCTTAATGCTTTTTTTATTTACCAAGATGTTTACCTCCTCACAATGACAGTTACTTGCATGGCCAATTGTATGATTCTTATACAATATGACATAATGTTCTTTGAGTCATAATGAAAGTTTTTTCAACTTTATACAGGTATGATTTAAAAATTAAAATTGTATGTGTTTAAGGTGTACAACGTAATATTCTCATGTACATATACAATGTGAAATGATTAATATAAGATTTAAATGCAGGCCTAAGATGATAAAGAAGTGACAAGTTGCTGTTCTTTACAATAGTGTTATTCACTGTTTATTTGTTACAGTCATTTTTGATAACCTAATCTGGTTCATTTCAGCCATCTTATTAGTGTTTACAGACAGACTCTCTTGCGTATATTAGCCTCAAAATGTGCTCCAAATCTGCTGAAAATCATAGCTCTACTAGAGAGGAAAATAAAAAAAAAATGTCAACTAGTTGACGTAGTTTTTACTTTATGGAACTTATAATCATTCTTTGCTTTTTCAAACCATCTAGGAGTCCTGCAATTGAAAGAAGATACCATTGAAAGTTTGCTGGCTGCAGCTTGTCTTCTGCAGCTGACTCAGGTCATTGATGTTTGCTCCAATTTTCTCATAAAGCAGCTCCATCCTTCAAACTGCTTAGGGATTCGATCATTTGGAGATGCCCAAGGCTGTACAGAACTTCTGAACGTGGCACACAAATACACTATGGTAAAATCAATTGCTTCAACTGAACTTGTAGTAAAAATATGTTAATGTTATAATAAAATTAATAAGCAACATAAACTTATATAACTTGTAGATGACTTTCACATATGATATATTCAACAAAAACATTTGTCTGGTTGAGCTGCACTCAGGCAAGCTTTTCCTTTTCTGAATTACAAATGTTTAATTAAATCCCCAAACTTAAGGAAATAAAAATACTGCCAAAAAATAAATTGTACAACTGCGTATTTCAAATAGAATCTATAGTATTAAGAAAATGTTAATTCCCTGATGTTTTTGCACAATTAGAGCTTTAGTTTGTAAAATTGTACGAATTATGATTTATAAAGAAAGTGAGGTGTCATTCAGTAAGGAAAAATGCTAATATTAATGGGTCAATAATTGTCAGAGCTTAAAAACTACCAAAATTAGTGGCGCAATCTCAGCTCACTGCAACCTCCGCCTCCTGGGTTTAAGTGATTCTCCTGCCTCAGCATCCCGAGTAGCTGGGACTACAGGCGCCCGCCACCATGCCCTGCTTTTTTTTGTATTTTTAGTAGACATGGGGTTTCACCATATTGGCCAGGCTGGTCTCGAACTCCTGACCTTGTGATCCACCTGCCTCAGCCTCCCAAAGTGCTGGGATTACAGGCATGAGACACTGCGCCCAGCCCAGATAATTTTATTGAATGAACTTCTTTATGTCTTAGTAACAAATTTTACTTTGGTTAAAAATAACTTACAGCTCAATTCATTAATGCAACTAACTTAAAATCCCTTTCAATTCTATTAACAATTAAATCTAATGCAAATGTTCATAGGTGGTAATTATTTAAATGTTGCATATGATAAGATAGAGCATATTAAATGGACAGAGGATATTCAATAAAGCCTTACAATAGATGCCAATACTTCCCTGAGACAGAGTAAAAATAAACTTTTTTAACCTCTGAAGAAGGGAAGGACACAAGAGATGGATCATTTTGTGAAACCCAATCAAAATATAAATATTTCAAAGAATGAAATTGCTTCAGTTATTTAATATTAAAAAACAAAAAGCAATTGCATACAAGTGAACAATAGAAAGGCACACATTGAAATCATAAATAAAAGTAGCATTTTTTAGAATAGAGATGCATATAAAGAGTATTTTTCTGGAGTTTTATACAGAAGGTAATTTTTTAATTTCTAAAATTTCAATTGTTTAAAAACTTCTTATCAAATCTTTCTCCCTCCTACTTCCCACCCTAGGTCCATTGCTCAAAATTTGAAGTTTGAAACGTATTCCTAAAACAATACCATTATATGGAGAATCATATTATAATGGATTGACATTTTAAAATATATCATTTAATTACACCATTTATGTCCCTGCGTCCTAAATACAGATGCCATATAATCTAAAGGAACAGCAGTTATGAAGGTCAAAGGTTTATTCTACCACAAAAAATAAACATGAAAACTTCCTATTAAATTACTTAAATTCTTGAACTAAGTTTTAGCAGTTTCCTGTTTAGTATTACACACTTGCAAGCAAAATACATTCCGAAAAAAGTTTGAATTATTTTTGTTGCTCAAAATGAACTTGTCTTCCTTTTCCTATTATGTGACCAAAACGGAGTGTTGAAGCAGAATGTGCATAAAAATGTAATATTGTTGTCTCTCTTAATCTCTCTTCTTTAGTTATGTTAGTATCTATTGTAAATACAGTAAAATATATAAAGGTCTTGCTATAATAATGTTGTTGCAGTACTGGATTGATAGTTTAATAATGCAAATAATTTTAATGTCTAAGAATAATACTAAACAATTTAGGGATTCAATTGTAATCATGTGCATTGGTAGACTGAACAAGGTAGATTGCCTTCCCTAATGTGAATGGGCCTCATCCAGAACTACCATCACAGACACACTCAGAATGCTATTTGGCCAAATGTCTGGGTACCCCGTTCGTTACCCAGTCAAGTTCATACATAAAATTAACCATTTAAATCATACAGATAGTTGTCTGCATCAATGAAGCATTTATCAAATATGTGATAGTCATTTGGTAAATTTTGCAACAATATAAGTGTAGATTTTTATAAAATGAATAGTTAAGCCAGGGCACAAAAGAAGACTCCCTTGGAAGTTGCATAGAATAAAGTGTTTACCTTGAAATTAGGAGCAAAATAATTCCAAAATAAAACAATTTAAAATTAATCTTTAAGTGAAACTAATTAATTCTATACAGTACTGGATACTGCAATGTAATATATAGATACTTTAAAATTACACTTATTCTTTATTTAGACTAATCTACTATATTGCCCAGCAATTTTCAATAGTCCCATTAGGAAGCAATTCTGAAGTCATAACAAATTCTATCAGAAAATCTAGGTTTTTCCTCTTCATTTTTTAATTGGAGAGTGGGTAAAAAGGAGGAGATATTGAGGTGTCCGTAATATTAATGCAGTTTCAGAGTTTATATACAATATCGGTACTATATAACCTTAAGTTTTATAGTTTTATATTTGTCTAAACTCTTTCACAAAAATCATATCACTTATGAAAAGCAGTTGCAATAGCAAACAAAACGCAGTAAGCATGATTTCAGAGGCTTATGCTTGAATCCAGACTTTGCCACTTACTCCATAGGGAATCAGACAACTCATATGACCTGCTTTCTTATCAGACTAATTCCACTTTCTCACAAGATCACACTGGTGATGACTTAATGCTTGTGAAAGAAATCAGTAAAGTGTGAAGTGTTGTACAAGTGTAATGTATTAATAGTTGCACTACTATCACCATTATTTGTATAAGTGGGAGGGTCTTCACCCAGAGACATCTGCTACAGTAAGAACAGCAGTTCTCTTTCAGTTGTTTGTCTTAATCACAAAGAGTTATTTGTCTAAATAGGCCAGTTTGAAACTTACGGCATCAGAGCTTTCTGATGGGTGTATCAACATTGATTATTGCTGTCTGGATAACTTTCTTCTTTGATTGTTTCACTTCCACAATGACTCAACTAAAAGTAAAGCTGAGGTGGTGATTTGATTTATTTAGAGACCCCAATTATTCGGAGACTAGCTTAAACTGTTCCTGGAATATCTGTTTATTATGCAACATAAATTGCCAAGTAGGTATGTTTATCTTCATTTTAGAAATATATTTTATTTCATTTAAAACTTGAGATCTTCACTATGAGAAATGTTAAAAATGATCATTCTGTTGTCAAAGAAAGAACATGTAATATTTATAAACTAGAAAAAAATATAATGGTGTTTTGATTTAAAAAAATGAAACACAGATGTTTGAAATTGTATATTTGACAAAATACAACACAATGAAAGAAGAATTGAGATATAATATATAAATTTATTATTATTTTTTTTGAGAAGGAGCTTCACTCTACTAAAAAAAAAAATACGAAAATATTAGCCGGGGATAATATATAAATTTAAAAGACATCCTCACTCTTTCCTAAAGAAAAAACTTTATAGGAATCATTTTTAGATTGTCCTGAACCCATAGATTGTTACCAACTGCAAAAGAGTACTTTTCTCTTGGTCAATAGAAGATCATACTTTTCCATAAAAGGAAAGAGTTTTTCATCATTCTTTTTTCTTATCTCCAAGGAATTCAGTTTGTTTCTGCCTCACATACATAGCCAGAGTTAACTCTCCTAGGCTTTCAAGACAGCCACCACCTTAAAAAGTTTCAGCCTTTTTCTTATGGCTTTTGGCTGAAGACCAACCAGACAGTCAGCTCTGAAGTCATGAGCTGCTGTTGTCACATACGGCAGCTGGGAGCAAAAACTGCCGCTTTTGGCTCCAACACTCTGCCTATGTGGGCTGTGAAGCAGTTAAAGCTAACCTTGTATGTTCTATAAATAATTCCCAGTGGAAGCATTTGGCCTCTCAGCTCCAGAAGGCTCCCTGTTACCCATGTCACAGGTAGCAGGAGCACCTATTTTTTATAAGTGAATACATCTGTGTCTCTTGCATTTTCTGAAGTTTAAGAACATGAAATTCTTTGATATGCTTATTCCATTAAGAAATTTCTAAAGTGCAAAGTTTTAGTAGATGACCTTTCTTTTCTAGGAACACTTCATTGAGGTAATAAAAAACCAAGAATTCCTCCTGCTTCCAGCTAATGAAATTTCAAAACTTCTGTGCAGTGATGACATTAATGTGCCTGATGAAGAGACCATTTTTCATGCTCTAATGCAGTGGGTGGGGCATGATGTGCAGAATAGGCAAGGAGAACTGGGGATGCTGCTTTCTTACATCAGACTGCCATTACTCCCACCACAGGTATGGAAAATTACCTAGGTAATTTAAAATATAGTTCTGAACTACCACTAGGCACTAATCCATTTCTTATTTGCCTAATTTTATTTTTTCAGAAGATTCCTGGTAATTTGAGTGTACAAGATTCGTTTCACAGAAGAACATATTCAGCCATCAATTAGAGGCATTAATAAAAGACAGAAAAAAACACGGCTAAAAAAAGCTACCGTTAAACCATAAACATCAGAATACTCATTAGTTTCAGTTTCACCACATAATATTTGTAAAAAGCTGGGAAAATGACTAGGCTAACTCTTTTTTTTTTTCCTGCACAACTTCTAGGCAAAATGTTAGTAATTAGTACAATAGCCTTCCAGAGGAGAGTCTAGGAAGGAGTCAGGTACTGAATAATATCTTTTAATATTATCCGCTACGATCAAAAGAATGCTATCATACTTTCGATGCACTATAGCATAATTATAAAGGCATCCTCACCATATATGTTGAATTGAAGGATTATAGCAAAGATGATTCTAAGAACAAACACCTTTGAATAAGATCCAGGGTTAACTCAACTCATACTGAATTTTGGAATGCAGTCTCACCACATAATTTCACCATTGGTGATAACCACAGATTTTTCTCTGTAGCAAATTGATCAATAAAATTTATAATACATGTGGATATACTGCACATATGCATGTAATATCTATTGAATTTGTGGCTATAGGCCTCAAACATCATCCAAATTAAAAACAGAGACGTATAGATTTAGTGGATCAATAATTTTGTAAATATTAACATGAATTCACTTTTATAACAAAGTTACTAATTAAATGTTAATATTGAAAAATAGATTGTTAATCTGTTGATGATTTTTCCTTTTTTCTTTTTTTTTTTTTTTTTTTTTTTTGAGAAGGAGTCTTGCTCTGTTGCCAGGCTGGAGTGCAGTGGGGCTATCTCGGCTCACGGCAACCTCTGACTCCCTAGTTCAAGCGATTCTCCTGCCTCAGCCTCCCAAGTAGCTGGGATTACAGGCATGTGCCACCACACCCAGCTAATTTTTGTATTTTTAGTAAAGATGAGGTTTCACCATGTTGGCCAGGATGGTCTCGACCTCCTGACCTTGTGATCCACCTGCCTCGGCCTCCCAAAGTGCTGGGATTACAGGTGTGAGCCACTGTGCCCAGTTGATTTTTCCACATTTTAAAAACTTCCAGCTGTTAATTAAATTCCATAGAACTATATGCATGCTCTTAAGAATCTATCCATATGCAATGAAAGAACGTTGATTACCCTTCTGGTTATAGCAAATTTATCCAAAGAGCAAGGAAGGCAATAGTAACGCCAAAAACAGAAATAATAAATATATACGTAATTTTAGATCCAGGGTTCTAAATCTTTGGATTGACAGATGATCTTTAGAATCTATGGAAATTTTATGTTTGGGTGAAGGTATACACTTATATGTATTATTTTCAAGAAAAGTTCTATGACATATGAGATTCTCAGGCTGCCTTTGAAAATGTTCCTTGACCTGTGAACTTGTTAGAAACACAATTTCTCATGCCCCACTGCAGACCCAGTTAACCAATTTCATGGAAACAGGCTGAAGAATCTGTGTATTAACAATTTCTCCTTGTGATTTTAGGCATAAAAAACTTAAGATGCACTGGTGTAAGATCAGAGGCTGGTATCTTTACAGAGCCTTAAGTCTATATGACACTTTCAGCAAAATGAACTTAGTTTGAACTTCTGTTATTTTATTGGAATGGAGGGAAATTTCTAGCCCAAATGTACAACCAACAGTACCGTGGTAGCCCACCTCTGAGTATGCCTTAGACCTAGAATATGGACTGTGTCAACTTTTCCTGATCGTAGTAGTGATAGGCAATGTCATGCAAATATAGGCTTTCCAAAAGAATTTAAAAGGTGACCTTACAAATATCTTAGAAATGAAATATATAAAAAGGATGGTGATGAATCTCTGAAGAGTATTTTTAGGGAAAAATACATAGCCTAGTTTTTAGACCTATTTCTGAAAGCATATGCATTAAGCAAATGCCTGGGCTCTCATGAGGCAAGTCAAAATAAAGATCCATCAGATATCACAGGTGGAGTGAGAACAGAACTGAAATTAACACATGAAGAGCAGGAAAATTCAGATAAGTTTAATGTAATAAGATTGCCTCTTCTATTCCAGCAACCTGCTCACTATTCCTCTCAATGTCCCATGATACTGTGGACCCAAAACTCCAAGGGAACCAATCTAAGATGACTCTTGACAACATTCTGAAATATACTCTTGAATTCTCTCCAATTCATCTCATGAAAAATACTTTGCCTCACTTTTATCAGTGTTAAATAAGGTCACTGTCTGCCAGGTAATGATAGTTAAAAAGAATTGATCATCTATTTTTGTTAATATGCTGGCTAGTTACTAAGGCATGTATCTCAACTCAGTTAAAAAGCACCTGCTTTCAGAATACTCTGCAGAAGTGATCAGATGATACAGATACCATCCACCATGTCTGTTATTATTTTAACTGAGCATGTTTGCATGACCACCACTACCAACACAACTACCCCAAATCCGCCAAAAAGATTGCTACTTGTATTAGCCACATGCAGTAGACTAGGAGATTCTTGCTTGTGCAGACAGAGCCATTCTCTTTAACTGCTTTCAGCAATACTTTCTATGAGTGCTTTTTGATGTTTGCTCCTTTAAATTATATGTGTACATATTCAAAGGATGAATAATGTGTCAATTGAATAAATATGCAGAGGTCATTAGCTACTACCAGCAGATTTTTAGTTATTTTCCTTGATAAGTGAAAATAAAAATCATACTAAATAACAAAAAGCATGAAATATTCAAACTTCTACATTTCGGTTTGCTCAAGTTTTCTCTGCCTCTACCTCCCGGGCTCAAACGATCAACCCACCTTAGCCTACAAGTAGCTGGGATTACAGGCACATGCAACCACAACTGGCTAATTTTTGTATTTTTTTGTAGAGACAAGGTTTTGCCATGTTTCCCATGCTGGTCTCAAACTCCTGAGCTCCAGCGTTCTACACACCTTGGCCTCCCAAAGTGCTGGAATTACAGGTGTACGCCACTGCGCCCAGCCTCTAAAGTTATATAAATACAAATACGTTCTTTCTAATGGTGAACTCTCCATTCATATACCATGCATCACTACTTTTCAGTTACTGGCAGATCTTGAAACCAGTTCCATGTTTACTGGTGATCTTGAGTGTCAGAAGCTCCTGATGGAAGCTATGAAGTATCATCTTTTGCCTGAGAGAAGATCCATGATGCAAAGCCCTCGGACAAAGCCTAGAAAATCAACTGTGGGGGCACTTTATGCTGTAGGAGGCATGGATGCTATGAAAGGTAAAAATAACTTAGAGTGTCTTCATTCAAAAAAGATACATTCTTAACAGCCTCCAAATTATAAGGGTGATATTAAAGCCATGTTAAATGAGTGCACCTAAAGTGAATTTTCATAAATAGGGTGCATTATATGATTTTTGTGACCTCATTTTTCTACTTACCTTATGAGACATAACCTTTCAATTAGTGTTGAACTCTTAATAGGCACTTTTACTTTACAGAAGCTGTTTTAAGATTTGAATATTTACTTTGCCATATTTTATCTTTTCAAGGAAAACTTATTTAATGTTTGTGAACCCGAAAGTATGTGAGACAGGTCTCAATTAATTTAAAAAGTTTATTTTGCCAAGGTTAAGAATGCGCCCATTCTTAACCCCAGGGGGTCAGGGTACATCTTGGTTTTATACATTTTAGGGAGATATCAGACATCAACGTGTAAGGTATACATTGGTTCTGTCCGGAAACGCGAGACAACTCAAACTGGGGGCCTTCTAGGTCATAAGTAGGTAAGAGACAGATGGTTGCATTCTTTTGAGCATCTGATTAGCTTTTCACTGAATACACAATTTACATATGAGGGAGGTACAAGAATAGTCACTTATGCCTTAGTCTGGCTTAGAGAATATGCATTTTTTTCATAAACAATAAAGCAGAGGAAGCAATCAGATGCATATTTGTCTCAGGTGAACAGAGGGATGACATTGAGTTCTGTCATTCCTTTGTCCTGCACCTATGAAAATAAGCTGTCAATTTACACTGCCGTTGTGAAATTCAACGTAACTTTTTAAGGGTAAGCATCTGGAGGCCCACAAGGAATTTCCTTGTGGGCAAATTGTGAGGGATGTATGTAGCTTTAAAAAAAAAAAAAACTCAGTATTTATCTTATTTAGGAATAAAAAGGGAGGAAAGATTTGCCTGACACAGTTCCCAGCTTGACTTTTCCTTTTGGCTTAGTGATTTGGGGGTCCCAAGACTTATTTTCCTTTCACATGTTAATCAGAAAGGAAGAGACTGTAACTGGCAAAAGGTCTGGCTGCTGGCCACTTGTAGAAAGAAGCCATAATAACAAGAGTGAGGTGCGATAAAAAGAGAGCAAGATTTTCATTTCCATGCTAGTAAGAAGAGGAGTGGGTGGAATTCTTTCCAAAAAATGTCTACTCTTCCATTTGTAGAAGGAATGTGGGGGCTTTAAAGAGAGAGTTTGGAATGCAGAATAGGCAGGGTGGCTAGGAAGTGTCAGGTGTTGTGACACCCTTCAATGGCTTGTGTTGAATTATTTATCGTTCCATCTGGTAAAGGGGCTGGTGCCATCATGGCCAGAGGTGTCTGGTCTGTATCAGCATCCGGCCCCTGAAGCTTCTCAGGAAATATTTGACCAGATGAGTGAGTATGGTGTGTGTTTATCAAGCATCTAGGTAACCAGTGTGCATAAGGCATGGGAGCATAGAATGGGATAAGAAAGGGAGTGGAGGAAAGAAAACATTCCAAGGATGTAAAGTTTATCTCAGAGCTACATCTTGAAACTGTGGGTGACGGGAAATGAGGAAAGGAAAGGGGATAGAAAAAAAAAAGTTTAAAAACTTGGTTTGAAGTCCTACTGGAATCACATTATTTTCTTTGATATATATAATTGAAAATTGGAAGACTACATAGTAACAATGCTTATTAATCATAAGCCCATAAAACAAGAGATTGCAAATGCAATTATTTGCAGATTTGTAGGGTTACTTCAAGAACTGATGTGCTTCAGGAAATAACAGATAACAATGTTTTTGTATTTTGTAACAATAATGTTACAAGCTAGGTTTTATAGGGCAATGAGATCCTATAATTAATTTCCAGTCTGGCAACTTGAGGTTTTATTGAATTTTTATTGACTAAATTGAATATTAATAGCATATTAGAAGGTTTTTTGTTTGGCATTTAAATTACAAGAGAACTAATTTAAAAATGCAAGTACAGTTATCTTTCGTTTCTGACTCTGAAAAAAGCCTAATTTGCATTGTGAGAAATGGAAAACTTTGTGTTTGTTTGGTTTTTGTGTTTGTTTTTTATTTTTTATTTTTGGCATTTTTTTCGGGCTAATCTTGGTTAAATTATTGTTACCATAAAGGAATGTATTACAACAAATGTTTATAAGTATCTATAACTCCTTATCAGTCTCTAAAAATGAGTGAAATATGAACCTATAATCTCTGGACTCTATTACCAAAGTTTGTTATGGAAGTAAATGAAGGCATGAGACACTTTGAATTCCTGGTATACGGAGACACTATAAAAGGCTCACGGGACGTTGCAGACCATTAAAAGAATAGTAAAACCTTACATTTTTGATTACTTAATCTTTGGCATTTTGCAAACATCGTTCCTAATCCTCACAATAATGTTACAATAATGTTACCGTTACTTTGCACATCTTAAGTTTAGATAGCCAACCAAAGGACAAACATTAAGAAAGGCTGGAGATGAAATTCTTATTCAAATATGATGTTCCTTTTTCTACACTGCCACTATTACAGACAAAAGAACAGCAACAAAACTCTTTGGGGTTTTAGAATCTATTGGAAAACCAGGGTAAACACGTAGTAGCAAAAAAAAGAAAAAAGAGAAAAAGAAAGAAAAAACCTAAGAAGTATAACAAAAACATTAAATGGGCAGCATTTATCTGTATAAAGCAGTATGACATTGAAAAATGTACTACTTTACATATTTTCACAAAAGTATAAACATTAATTTCTATACATACACCTTTTCTTATTGTGTGTTGCTTCAGTTATTTTTAAAAGATGTTTTTGACTACATATTGAGTACAGTGTACACTGCTTGGGTGATGAATGCACTAAATTCTCAGAAATCACCACCAAAGAACTTACCCATGTAACCTAAAACCACCTGTACCCCCAACACTATTGAAATTTTAAAAATTTGAAAAATTTAACTTTTATATTTTGATGTTTAGGAAATACAGGGCTTCCTCAGACTCTAATTTCCTCTCTGACTCATATAACAAGCTCAGAATTGCTGTTAAATACAGATATCACACAAATGGCTGGGGCTAACTATAACTCCTACAATGTATTTGAAAGAATCATTAGAAAGTGCTAAGTATAATCATAGAGTCAAAATTGTTAACTTGCCAGTTAGTAAACTTTGGATGTCTTGTACGTACATAATATTTTGTAAATTTGTATTTGTTTAAAAACTAAATTCTGAATAAAGCATATGGCAGGAGACAAGGTAAAGGCTAATACTGTCGCTTTTGGAACATTTGTAAAGTAAATGGAGGAAATCATTACATCAGATATATTCACTACTGCAGGAACTACAGTGTTCTCAGCAACACTGATAAGTTTGACAGGTTTTGTTCACTCTTGAATACATTATGAACGAAGATTGGGTAAGAGCTTAGAAATGAATTGAGAATATATCAAACGTTCTGGGGCAGAGAGTTATTCATACAGAAAAATTTTAAAGGAAAAGATGGTAAAAAAATTGAATTTATGTTTTTCCATCTAATATAGAGCTGTCCTAGTAAAGCAGCTAGAGAATATACATTTTGATTAGTTGAAGGATTGGTGGGGGTGGACAAAGGGGCTGGAGAAGTCTTCAGAATTCAATATGTAGAACTACTAGTCATAAATGCTCATGTTGCAGTCAAAAGTTATGGGATCATTTTATCTTTATTGAATCTAATGCCTTGAAAAGTTTAACCTGGCATGAATCACACACCTACATCTCTCAGTGTAAATCTTCTACATACAGCTGACTAATGTAGATTTCTACAATTTTCTAATTACCCCACCATTCGTATCTTCATAATCATAACAATGAGTGCAGACTAGCTTTTATTTCCTAATCTAAATTAGGTCATCCGTAAATTGCACTAACACAAAGAGAACTAAAAGTTAAAATTAGAACAAGCAGATAAGAATACAGAAGTAGGAAGATTGGGATGAGGAAATGGAAAGAATTGGAAAACATTCAGAGAAAACTGACTGGTTAAACATAGAATAAAAGTAGGTGTGAGTTTCTAGTTATTTCAGTTTTAACATTACCATCAAAAGATATTTAGTGTAGAAAACATATTTTGATAGGTGTTATAATTTGACCTCTTAGCAGGAAATATAGTCAGTAGAGCAATTGCTAATGTATAAATCAGTATTCAGTCAAATCCATGTTATCAGTGAAGGAGGCAATAATGAAAGAGAAAGAGTAAATAAGTCCCTGTGTATTTACAAGTTTGTGCTAGAAAATCCAAAATCTTGGAACACAAATACTTGCAGTGCACTATTCACCAGAAAATATTTAAACTTAGAGGAAGGAAACACTGTTTCCACTAATTCAATCTAATCAAGGAGCAGTTATATATTTAATATACACTCTGCTTAAATTTTGACACTGCCAATGGTTATGCTTCAAATGTTAATTAACTACATCTTCATTATAACTAATGAACTGCATTTTCTTCACAAATCTCCCAATAAAGGAGCAACTGGAAAGTATTTTTGCTTATTACTGTGGCTGATTTTGTGTAATTGGGATGAAATTTTTTTTTCTTTTCTAGCAAATGAGGTTTTTTTTTAAATTATTATTATACTTTAAGTTTTAGGGTACATGTGCACAATGTGCAGGTTTGTTACATATGTATACATGTGCCATGTTGGTGTGCTGCACCCATTAACTATGAAATTTTTTAAACCTGCCACAAACTCTATTAGATATACTATATAGATGTAAAAAATAATTCTATTATTTTCCACCCTGGTTATTATTCAGAAGTTTCCCTGTTGTGCAAAATCAGCTTTTACTAAAAAATAGCAACAACTATTATGAATGAATGGTAAGAAGCATTGCCTACTGAAGTGACAATTCATTATGGCAGTAGTGATAGTTTACTTTGTCAATAGTGACAGTATACTATGGCAGTAAACTTTGCACATTAGTAATTGAATAGAAAATACAATTATATTAACACTTAAAGAAAGTAATACCTTGTAATTCTATATTCTCAACTGTAATATTTTGTGCTACTGAAGCAGGTTCATTGTCTGGGGTAACACCTGAGGTTCGTTGTCTCTTGGCCACAGAAATCAAAGACATGGACACACAAAGAGTGAGATTAAGAGCAGAAATTTAACAGGCAAAAGAAAGAGAATAGCTCTCCGCTACAGAGAAGGGTCCTGGAAAAATGGGTTTCCAGATCTGTGCTGAAATGCAGGGGGGTTTATAGATGAGCTGGTGAGGAGGTGGTGCCTGTTCTACATAGGGCGCAAAAGACTGGTTAGGACCAGGTGTGCTATTTGCATAGGGCACGAATCTCTGGCAGCCCCCACACCAATCTTTTATTATGCAGGTGGGTTTTCTGCCTAAACTCGCCATGATACCCATTTCTTTCTTACTGTACACGTGGTAACAATAAAAGGGAAGATGAAGCCTCCATGTTGGAAATGCCTGCCCCCAAGGTAGCCCTTTCCTATCGGTGCAGCTGCCATCATTCCCCTGTGCAAGCTTCCAGCTTGCTTATCTATGTCTGCAGCTTGATTTTTCAGGCTGCTCTTTGTTAGAAAATAAATGATTTGGGGGGCTGCTTTTGATTAGAAAGGTAATTCCACCAAGGATTCTTTTGACCTCACTATCTGCATAAATAATTTCTCTCTACCTCTTGTATCATTACCATCATGGAACATTATGTGAATCAACACCAAAGGCCCATTTAACATTTTTTGAATTTTATTTATTTATATAGACAGAGTCTCACTCTGTCACCCAGGCTGGTGTGATCTTGGCCCACTGCAGCCTCCGCCTCCTGGGCTGAAGTGGTCTTCCGACCTCAGCCTCCCAAGTAGCTGGGACTACAGGTGCATGCCACGACACACAGCTAAAGGCCCGTTTAAAAATAATTTTCATTCCTGGTCCTTTAGTTACGTGTCTTTTAAATAAACACACACACACATACACACAAACACACACACACAAATAAACACACACACCCAAAACAAATTTAAAAAGCATAAATTAGTATGTTGAATGGTCATAAGTAATTAAATCTGTAACAGATGTGCAAACATTCAATAATAGAATCCAAGGTATTTTGTTGTAAATTATGTCATTTGACACTTGTGTTGATACTACCAGTAGAATAGTATAGCCAAAGCCAGTGTTATAAGGGTATAAACCAAACATATTACATAAAACATTTTATTTTGACTCTTCTATTTGGGTCCAGAAGTGGTAAAAGATTATCCTTTGCTTTGTCTCCCAGGTTGTAGAATTACCTGAGCTACTTACTTAATTTGAATTGTAATCACTGATACTGTGCTGTAAGTTATGGGTACATAATTATAATGTGAATAATACCAATTCAAAATTTCAATAGAAGTAGATTTTACCGTTGTTCAATATCCCTTTGTCAGGTACTACTACTATTGAAAAATATGACCTCAGGACCAACAGTTGGCTACATATTGGCACCATGAATGGCCGTAGGCTTCAATTTGGAGTCGCAGTTATTGATAATAAGCTCTATGTCGTGGGAGGAAGAGACGGTTTAAAAACTTTGAATACAGTGGAATGTTTTAATCCAGTTGGCAAAATCTGGACTGTGATGCCTCCCATGTCAACACATCGGCACGGCTTAGGTAAGAGCTTAACGTAATGTATTTTTCAAGAATGTATAGTAAGTAGAGTTTTTAAAAATTAAATCTAGCAGCACATTATTGGGATTTAGCCAAATCCTTAGTGAAAATGTCTCCAAAATGATGAAAAACTTAAGGAAATGATAAAAGCCTGTGAGACATTTGTTATTGTTGCAGGTTACTCCTGATTCCCTTCCACCAGTATTTTAAAGGGGTTTCATTCTAAAAAGGATAACCACATTTCAAAGGGATTTATTATAAAATAATATACAACTACAGCAAGGAGCTTTCTTCTAAGCTCAATTTAGAGAGGAAAGTACTTGACTATTGCGAGGGATTGTGTTTCTAGTTAGATGAATCATGTGCCCACAGTGGAGAACTTTGATTCTCCTGAATATTTGTCAGGATACCTCGTTCTTTATACTAGGCTCCATATTTTTGCAATATCATAAGAGTTGGCTGAACAACAGAAAAATTTCCTTTTTTTTAATCTGATTTTTATAGAGCTAAAAAGCAGCAGATCCAGGAATGGTATTGCTTGCCCCAATTATCCTGATAAATTGACTCTGCCAAATAATACACGATATAATTATTCAGTTCAGTTATGTCAGTGTTATTCCTAGACATAGCTTAGAAAGGTCCTGCAGGGAAATCAGAGCAAGCTTATTTTTCAATATAATTGATATTAGCAAATAGGTAGGAGAGGTGATGATGATATACCACTGAGAGGTTGATTGGGATAGTGAAGGTGGGGAAAAAAACAATTATGTAAATTATCAAAGCAGATGCGAAGCAGAAATGGGCTATTCATAATATTTGAAAAAACAAACTTCTAACTAAACATTAAAAAGCTCTGTCTGTAAGTTAGCTCACAGGAATCTTTTTATCCCTATATTAAACACCAGAGGTTATAAAGACCTACTACAGTCAGCCTGTAATTCTAAGGTTTATCTAAGAATCAACATCACATTGTATCTACATGTTATATCAACAAACAATATTGAAATTTTGCCAGAAAAAGCCAGCTTTTTAAATTACATATCTAGTGTAATTTAAATGGTGCATTCTACTGCCTCTTTTGACTTCAGTGTTACAACAATAGTACCCTTCTATGATATAGTAACTAAAACTGAAAGTTTCACAGGGTTAGAAAACCATACTTAGCTTTACAACAGAGTCAGTAAACTATTCATATGTATGCAAAATCGTTTAATAAGCAAAACAAAAAAATTTAAGCAGTTAATTGCTTGCAAAATGAAACAATATTCAGTGTGTGGCATACCTAGGTGAACCCACATATTATTTTAATTTTTTTAGGTGTAGCCACTCTTGAAGGACCAATGTATGCTGTAGGTGGTCATGATGGATGGAGCTATCTAAATACTGTAGAAAGATGGGACCCTGAGGGACGACAGTGGAATTACGTAGCCAGTATGTCAACTCCTAGAAGCACAGTTGGTGTTGTTGCATTAAACAACAAGTGAGTAAGTTGAAACACACATGTTCATTGCTCCCAGGTCATATAGTATAGAACTTCGGTGACATGATCCATCCAATCAATTAGCATTCCAAATAACCTGGATGTACTTGTTATCAATAATAAAAGGTCTTCATTGGAACTCTCCATTAGGACTGAAAATACTTGTCTAAAATAAATACTTGATTAAATATTCTGTATGCCCTTGCTAATCAAGGTGTGGTCCTGGGACCAGCAGCATCCACCTTTCGTATTTAGAAATGCTGAATCCTAGCCCCGACCCAGCTTTTATAGGCAAGCCAGTTCTAATTTTACCCTCAAGAAGTTACTACTTTTTTACATTATGATTTATTTTTATCAAAACTTTAGTCTGTCTATGGATATAACAAGGTGATTCTTTTATTCTTTCAACAATCCCTCTCCTGAGTGTTCAGGGTTCCTAAATATAGAATCCTACCTAGTCTCACCCTTCCTGAATATTTACCTCTTCCTGTCACTTGCCTATCACTTCCGAGATATTATACTAAAACATGATGATGTTAGAAGTTTCTAAGAGCTTGAATTGTTACCAGGTATTATGTGCTTTCTGACAAGGGAACTTTGGAGACAATGACCAGCATATAAGAGGGTCATGAATCATGCGAGTTTTAGACAATAGGTTGGGTCAGTTGCCAGAGACAGCCTTGTGTGTTTATATTGACTATGCATGAAGCCAATACATTATCATAGATATGGTCTCAGTCAAAATGTCAACGCATTGTTTTTAGAACCTTGCACAGAAATAAATAGGAAATGTCCAGAGTTAAGAGGAGATCCAGTTTTAAAGTGTCTTAGAGCTTAAGCTACTCCTAAATCTATCCGTGGCCTCACCTGAATAATGTCAAGTGATTCAGTTATGTAATCTCCTACCTAATACAGAACAGGATGAAAACATGAAATTTGACCTATTTAATTGTGCTTTGCTGAGTTGCTATTGTTTACAACTCAGCATGAAGGGAAGTTATAGGAATATGGATTAATAAATGTCTGTCTTCTTTATTAATACATGATAACTTTAAAATTATATTAAAAATACTACTTATCAAAAGAATGGCATTTTAAAATGTATGGGAGAAATGTCATAGCCAATATCACTTACGAGGGAAAAAAATCTAGTTTCTAGGTTCTATCCTCTTTCCTTAGTTGTTTATTAAGCTAATGTCTTCTAAGTGATAATTTTTTAATGCAAATATAAAGTCATACATAAAAACAATGGATTCTGCTCCTAGGTAGTTTAACCCTGCTAAAATTGTAAAGTTGTTGGAGTTGGTCTTTGGAACTATCCTGCCAATCCCTTTGATCTTTCCCTCTTTTTTTCTGTGCCTCATATCCCATGGAATCTTTTATTCAATTATGTTAAAATGACTGTGATAAAGATAGTGAAAAAGGGAGATTTGGGTTGGGATAGATTTTAACAGGTGCCCTCAGGTTACGATCTATTCACAAACTTCTGCTATTCACTGCATAATAGTGTAGGAGTAGAATATATAGTCAGACCCTTCAGAAACTTGAAAAGCTTTGTACAAAGTTCTCTCACTCTCATTCTATGCATGCATTTTGTGTGTATATGTATACACACACATATACATACACACAATTCTGTCTTTTTATCTAGATTATATGCTATTGGTGGACGTGATGGAAGTTCCTGCCTCAAATCAATGGAATACTTTGACCCACACACTAACAAGTGGAGTTTGTGTGCTCCAATGTCCAAAAGACGTGGAGGTGTGGGAGTTGCCACATACAATGGATTCTTATATGTTGTAGGGGGGCATGATGCCCCTGCTTCCAACCATTGCTCCAGGCTTTCTGACTGTGTGGAACGGTAAGTTTTTTCTATTTCCTTCTGTATGTAATTATTTGGTTATTTAATTTTTTAGAAATAGAAAGATTTTTTTTCTTTTAAATGGAAATCAGTTTAGTTCTATGCCCACTGTAAGAAAATTAAATAGTACAACGGGAATCTAGGGAGAACAAGTCCTTTCCCAGCTGAGATCCTCTAAGACTCTAGTCCCCTCCTGTTCTAGGCTCTTTCAAATATGGGATCTTAGCTAATTTTAATTTTAATTTTTTATTTTTATTTTTAATGGACAGTGTTTAATTACATTTTTAAACAACCAGAAAGTAGTCTTCCAATAAATGCTAATCCTTGTAGTGGATTTATCTTCTGTACAATTGTACACTTTCTCTTAGACTAAAAATATATTTTTTAAATATTCCGTATACATTTCAGATTCAGCATAGAATATGTAAAAAGAATATGTCATCTTATTGTTAAATAGTCACACTATAAAATAATAAGACAAAGTGGTAAACAAATAAATTTTATGCCAAGCTACATCACTCAACCAATTCAGGAGACTCAAATCAAAATAAGTTTACTGAGATTGGGGAAAAAATGGCAGATAGGAGCCAGGAATAACTTGCAGCTCCCACTCATATAGACAGAGCAGTGTGTGGAGAACCATATCGTGAACTTTTGCTCTAAGAACTACCGCAGGAACATAACAGGAAAGTCAAGAGAATCCACAGACCCTCTGAGGGAGGTGGATTGCTGCGCAGGGATAGCCGTAGCAATGTGAGCCTGCTTGCTTTCTCAGCTGGGAGTCTTATGGCCTGGGGTAGGTTCTCAGCCCTGCTCACTGGCTGCCTTGAAATAAGCTAGGTTCTGTTGAGCGAGGGTGCAGTGGGAGTGAGACCAGCCTTTCTGGCTGCAGGCTGCATGGGAGCTGGGTGAGGCCTGTGGCTGCCAGCTTTCCCCCACTTTCCCGGTGGCCTATGTGACAAAGCAGAGCTAGCCATAATCCCCCTGGGAACATAACTCCATTGGCCTGAAAACCACACCCCATCCCCCACAGCAGCTGCAGCAAGCCCCACCCAAGGAGAGTCTGAGCTCAGACATGCCTAACCCTGCCCCCACCTGATGGTCTTTCTCTTTATGCGCTGGTAGCCAAACACAAAGCTCATAATTTCTTGATAGCTCTATGGCCCTGCCCACTGCCTAAGCCTAAGGCAAAGTTGTATCCTTCCTATACAAACGGAACTGATGGGCTCTTGAATGTGCCACCTCCTAGCTGGAGGCCAACCAACACAAAACCAGCATACTAAACAAAAATACAACCAAGGACCCTCAGAGCATACTTCACTCCCCAGCCACCTCCACGAGAGTAGGTGCTAGTATCCATGGCTGAGAGACCTGAAGATGGATCACATCACAGGACTCATGGCAGACACTCCCCACCCCAGTAGCTCTGCTGGGTGGCTAGATCCAGAACAGAAATAGCAATCACTGCAGTTTGGTGCTCAGGAAGCCCCATCCCTAGGGGAAAGGGGAGAGCACCACATCAAGGGATCACCCCCATAGGACAAAAGAATCTGAACAGCAGCCCTTGAGTTCCAGATCTTCCCTCTGACATAGTCTACCCAAATGAGAAGGAACCAGAAAAACAATTCTGGTAGTATGACAAAATGAGGTTTTTTGACATCCCCAAAAGATCGCAGTAGCTCACCAGCAATGGATCCAAACCAAGATGATGTATCTGAATTGCCAGAAAAAGAATTCAGAAGGTCAACTATTAAGCCAATCAAGGAGGTACGGGAGAATGGTGAAGTCCAACTTAAACACATCAAATAAATAAATAAATAAATAAAATCATGTAGAATATGAATGGAAAATTCTCCAGTGAAATAGATAGCATAAATAAAAAGCAGTCACAGGCTAGGCATGGTGGCTCATAACTATAATCCCAGCACTTTGGAAGGTCAAAGTTGGAGGATCATCTGAGATCAGGAGTTTGAGACCAGCCTGGCCAACATGGCAAAACCCTTTCTGTACTAAAAATACAAAAATCAACCTGGCACAGTGGCAGTTGCCTTCAATGTCAGCCACTCAGGAGTCTGAAGCAAGAGAATCACTTGAACCTGGGAGGCAGAGGTTGAAGTGAGCTGAGATCATGCCACTGCACTCCAGCCTGGGCAACAGAGCGAGACTCCATTGAAAAAATAAATAAATAAATACACACATACATAAAATAGAAAACATAAAAAACAATTACAACTTCTGGAAGTGAAGGACACATTTACAGAATTGCAAAATGCACTGGAAAGTCTCAGCAATAGAATCAAACAAGTAGAAGAAAGAATGTCAGAGCTTGAAGACAAGTGTATCAAATTAACCCAATCCGACAAAGATAAAGAAAAAAATTATTTTAAAAAAATGAACAAAGCCTTCAAGAAGATTGGGATTATGTTAAATGACAAAACAGATGATTAGTTTGTGTTCCCAAAGAAGAGAAATCTAAAAGTTTGGAAAACATATTTGAGGGGATAATCAAGGAAAACTTCCCTGGCCTTGCTAGAGATCTAGACAGCCATACACAAGAAGCTCAAAGAACATCTGGGAAATTTATCACAAAAAAATCATCGCCTAGGCACATATTCATTTGGTTATCTAAAGTCAAAACAAAGGAAATAATCTTAAGAACTGTGAGGGAAAAGCACCAGGTAACCTAAAAAGGAAAACCTGTGAGAGTAAGAGCAGATATTTTAGTAGAAACTCTACAAGCTAGAGGGGATTGAGGCCTTATCTTTAGCCTCCTTAAACAAAACAATTAGTCAAGAATTTTGTATCCAGTGAAACTAAGCTTCATAAATGAAGGAAAGATAGAGTCTTTTTTAGACAAACAAATGCTGAGAGAATTTGCCACTATGAAGCCAGCCCTACAAGAACTGCTAAAAGGAGCTCTAAATCATGAAAGAAATCCTCACAATACAGAAAAATAGAGTCTCCTTAAAGTATACATCTCACAGGACATATAAAACAATAACAGTGAAAAAAATACCAAGGTATTCAGGCAATTAATAGCACAATGTATAGAATAGTACCTCACATCTCAATAGTAACGGTGAATGTAAAATGGCCTAAATGCTCCACTTAAAAGATGTAGAATGGCAAAATTGATAAGAACTCACTAATTAATATCTGCTGTCTTCAAGAGACTCACCTGACAAATAAGGACTCAAATAAACTTAAGGTAAAGGAGTGGAAAAAAGATAGTCCGTGAAAATGGACACAAAAAAATGAGCAGGAATAGCTATTCTTATATCAGACAAAACAAACTTTAAAGCAACAACAGTTAAAAAAGACAAAGAGGGACCTTATGTAATGATAAAAGAACTAGTCCAACAGGAAAATATCACAATCCTAAATATATATGCACCTAACACTGGAGCTCCCAAATTCATAAAACAATTACTACCAGACCTAAGACATAAGATAGACAGCAACACAATAATAGTGGGGGACTTCAGTACTCCATTCACAGCACTAGACAGGTCATCAAGATAGAAAGTCAACACGAACCAATGAACTTAAACTATACCCCAGAACTAATGGACTTAGATATTTACAGAACATTCTACCTAACAACTGCAGAATATGCACTGTATTCATCAGCACATGGAACATTCTCCAAGATAGACCATATGACAAAACAAGTCTCAGTAAAAGCCACAAAACAAGTCTCAGTAAATTTAAGAAAATTGAAATTTTATCAAGTACTCTGTCAGACCACAGTCTAATAAAATTGGAAATCAACTCTAGAAGAAACCCTCAAAACCATGCAAGTACATGGAATTTAAATAACATGCTTCTGAATGATCATTGGGTCACAGTGAAATCAAGATTGAAATAAAAAATTATTTGAACTGAACAATAATAATAATATAACCTCTCCAAACCTCTAGGAAACAGAAAAGTGGTTCTAAGAGGAAAGTTCATAGCATTGAATGCCTACATCAAAAAGTCTGAAAGAGCACAAATAGACAATCTAGGGTTACACGTCAAGGAACTAGAGAAAAAACAACAAACAAACCCAGCAGAAGAAAAGAAAGACCAGAACTAAATGAAATTGAAACAACAACAACAAAAAAATACAAAAGAGAAAACACACAGCTGGTTCTTTGAAAAAAATAAACCAAATGAATAGACCATTAGCAAAATTAACCAAGAAAAAAAGGAGAAGATTCAAATAAGCCCAATTAGAAATGAAATGGGAGATATTACAACCAATATCTCAGAAACACAAAAGATCATTCAAGGCTACTAGGAACACCTTTACATACACAAACTAGAAAACCTAGAGGTGATGGATAAATTCCTAGAAATATACAACCATCCTAGATTAAACTAGGAAGAAATAGAAACTCTGAACAGACCAATAATAAGAAGCAAGATTGAAACAGTAACTAAAAAGTTACCAACAAAAAAAGTCTAGGTCCAGATGAAATCACAGGTGAATTTTATGTGACATTCAAAGAAGAATTGGTACCAATGATACTAAAACTATTCCAAAAGATAGAGAAAAAGGGAATCCTCCGTAAATCATTCTGTGAAGCCAGTATCATCCTGATACCAAAACCAGGAAAGGACATAACAAAAAAGAAAACTACAGCCCAATATCCATGATGAACATAGATGCAAAAATTCTCAACACAATACTAGTTAACAGAATCCAACAACATGTCAAAAAGATAATACACCATGATCAAGTTAGTTTTATACCAGGGACGCAGGGATTGTTTAACATCCACAAGTCAATAAATGTGATATGCCTCATAAAAATATTTTTTTAAAAAATCACATAATCATCTCAATAAATGCAGTAAAACCCTTTGACAAAGTCCAGCATCCCTTTATCATTAAAACCCTCAGCAAAATCAGCATAGAAGGGGCTTACCTTAAGGTAATGAAAGCCATCTATGACAAACCCACAGCCAACATAATACTGAACAGGGAAAAGTTGAAAACATTCTCCCTGAGAACTGGAAGAAGACAATGATGCCCACTTTCACAACTTCTATTCAACATAGTATTGGAAGTCCTAGCCAGAGCAGTCGGACAAGATAAAGAAATAAAGGGCATCCAAATTGGTAATAAGGAAGTCAAACTGTCACTGTTTGCTGATGACATGATTGTATACCTAGAAAACCCTAAAGACTCATCCAGAAAGCTCCTAGAACTGGTAAATGAATTCAGCAAAGTTTCAGGTTACAAAATTAATGTACACAAATCAGAATTGGAATCATCATGGTGGACGTGAGGCAGGAGAAGATTGCAGCTACAGACAGAGCAGCATGCAGAGGCTCGCATTGTGAATTTTAGCTCCAGATGGACTGCAAGAACAAACCAGCAATCCTGAGAGGACCCACAGACCATCTGAAGAAAACTAACTGCTCCTGCAGGACCCAGGAGACACCCCAAGTTCTGTGAGTGGCCCAACTGCAGAAGTGTGAAAGGGAGAGCCTCCTCTCCCAAACACACCCACTGGAGAAGCTGAAGGTCTGTTTGCAGGAGAAGTTTCCAACTTTACCTGGAGCTGAGGCAATTTAGAGGGCCGAGTGAAATACAGGGGTAGAGGAAGCAGCAGAAAGTCCCTGTGAGCTTGCTGGGTCCCCTAGCAGGCCATTCCTGCCTGGTACCACAGGGATACATTTGGAGGCTGGCCAGAGAAGCAGGGAGTAAAACTCCACAGGGAGGAGGAAATCTTTAGCTGAACTTTGTAACAATTTGAACATTGTGAGAAGCCTCCTGGCCAGAAATCGGGGGAGGGCACAAATCTGGTGTGCAGACTCCACAGGTGGGGGAAGAACCAAGCCCTTTTCTTTTGCAGCTTGGAAGCAGGTATCCTGGGGCAAGTTTTCAAGCCCGTCTCGTCCTCTACCTGGAAACAGACTTGGGGCTGTTGGGGAGAAGCATAGTGGGAGTGAGATCAGCTCTTTGGTTTGCACGGGAGCTGGGTGAGACCTGTGACTGCTGGCTTTCCCCCACTTCCCTGACAACCTGCATGACTCAGCAGAGGCAGCCATAATCCTCCTAGGTACACAGCTCCGGTGACCCGGGAATCTCACCCCAATCTCCCACAGCAGCTGCAGCAAGACCCACCCAAGGAATGTCTGAGCTCAGACATGCCTAGCCCCACCCCCACCTGATGGCCCTTTCCTATTTACCCTGGTAGCAGAAGACAAAGGGCATATAATCTTGGGAGTTTTAGGGCCCCACCCACGGCCAGTCCCTCTCCATACTACCATAGCTGATGCTTTCTGGAAAGTGCCACCTCCTGGCAGGAGGCCACCCAGAACAAAAATGAAGCATTAAACCACCAAAGCTAAGAATCCTCACAGACTCCATTGCACCCCCTGCCACCTCCACTGGAAGAGGCACTGGTATCCATGTTGAGAGACGCATAGATGGTTCACATCCCAGGACTCTGTGCAGACACCCCCCAGTACCAGCCTGGATTCAGATAGACTTGCTGGGTGGCTAGACCCAGAATAGAGACAACAATCACTGCAGTTAAGCTCACAGGAAGCCACATCCATAAGAAAAGGGGGATAGCACTACAGCAAGGGAACATCCTGTGGGACAAAAGAAATCTGAAAAAACAGTCTTCAGCCCCAGACCTTCCCTCTGACAGAGCCTACCCAAATGAGAAGGAACCAGAAAACCAACCCTGCCTAGTAATATGACAAAACAAGGCTCTTCAACACCCCCCTAAAGAATCACACTAGTTCACCAGCAGTGGATCCAAACCAAGAAGAAATTCATGATTTATCTGAAAAAGAATTCAGGAGGTTAGTTATTAAGCTAATCAGGGAGGGACCAGAAAAAGGCGAAGCCCAATGCAAGGAAATCCAAAAAATGATACAAGAAGTGAAGGGAGAAATGTTCAAGGAAATAGACAGCTTAAAGAAAAAAACAATCAAAAATCCAGGAAACTTTGGACACACTTTCAGAAATGTGAAATGCCCTGGAAAGTCTCAGAATGTAATTGAGCAAGTAAAAGAAAGAAATGTAGAGCTCAAAGACAAGGTTTTTTAATTAATCCAATCTTACAAAGACAAAGAAAAAAGAATAAGAAAATATGAACAAAGCCTCCAAGAAGTCTGGCGTTATGTTAAACAACCAAACCTAACAATAATAGGTGTTCCTGAGGAAGAGAATTCTAAAAGCTTAGAAAACATATTTGGGTGAATAATTGAGGAAAGCTTCCCTGGTCTTGCTAGAGACCTAGACATCCAAATACAAGAAGCACAAAAACACCTGGAAATTTTATCACAAAAAGATCAGAGCAGAACTAAATGAAATTGAAACCAAAAAAATACAAAAGATAAATGAAACAAAAAGCTGGTGCTAAGATAAATAAAACTGATAGACCATTAGCAAGATTAACCAAGAAAAGAAGAGAGAAAATCCAAATAACCTCACTAAGAATTGCAAGAGATATTACAACTGACATACCAAAGATCCTCCGAGGGTACTATGAACACCTTCCCTCACATAAACTAAAAAACCTAGAAGAGATGGCTAAATCTCTGGAAAAATACAACTCCCCTAGCTTAAATCAGAAAGAATTAGATACCTTGAACAGACCAATAACAAGCAGCAAGATTGAAATGGTAACTAGAAAAATTACCAACAAAAAAAAAGTCCAGGACCAGACAGATTCACAGTGGAATTCTACTAGACATTCAAAGGAAAATTGATACCAATTCTTTTGACACTATTCCACAAGACAGAAAAAGAAGGAACCCTCCCTAATTCATTCTATGAAGCCAGCATTAATACCAAAACCAGGAAAAGACATAACCAAAAAAGAAAACTAAAGCACAATATCCATGATGAACATAGATGCAAAAATTCTCAACACAGTACTAGTTAACAGAATCCAACAGCATGTCAAAAAGATAATACACCATGATCAAGTTAGTTTTATACCAGGGATGCAGTGATTGTTTAACATCCACAAATCAATAAATGTGGTACAACTCATAAAAATAATTTTTAAAAAATCACATAATCACATCAAAAGATGCAGAAAAAGCATTTGACGAAATCCAGCAACCTTTATGATTAAAATTCTCAGCAGAATCAGCATACAAGGGACATACCTTAATGTAATAAAAACCATCTATGACAAACCCACAGCCAACACAATACTGAATGTGGAAAAGTTGAAAACATTCCCTCTGAGAACTGGAACAAGACAAGGCTGCCCACTGTCTGCACTCCTCTTCAACATGGTACTGGAAGTCATAGCCAGAGCAATCAGACAAGAGAAAGGAATAAAGGGCATCCAAATCAGTAAAAAGGAAGTCAAACTCTCACTGTTTGCTGATGATATGATCGTTCACATTGAAAACCCTAAAGACTCCTCAAGAAAGCTCCTAGAACTGATAAAAGAATTCAGCAAAGTTTCTGGATATAAGATTAATGTACACAAACCAGTAGCTCTTCTATACACCAACAGCAACTAAGCAGAGAATCAAATCTAGAACTCAACCCCTATTACAATAGCTGCAAAAAAATAAAATAAAATACTTAGGAATATACATAATCAAGGGGTCAAAAGACCTCTACAAGGAAAACTACAAAATACTGCTGAAAGAAACCATAGATGACACCAAGAAATGGAAACACATCCCATGCTCATGGATGGGTAGAATCAATATTGTGAAAATGTCCACACTGCCAAAAGCAGTCTACAAATTCAACGCAGTCCCCACCAAAATAGCACCATTATTCTTCACAGAATTAGAAAAAACAATTCTAAAATTCATATGGAACCAAAAAAGAGCCCTCATAGCCAAAGCAAGACTAAGGACAAGAACAAATATGGAGGCATCTCACAGCCTGATTTCAAACCAGTCTATAAAGCCATAGTCACCAAAACATCATGGTACTGGTGTAAAAATAGGCACATAGACCAGTGGAACAGAATAGAGAACCCAGAAATAAACTCAAATGCAGCCAACTGATCTTTGACAAAGCAAACAAAAACATAAAGTGGGAAAAGAACACTGTTTTCAGCAAATCATGCTGGGATTATAGGCTAGCCACATATAGGAGAATTAAACTGGATTCTCATCTCCCACCTTATACAAAATCAACTTGGGATGGATTAAGGTCTTAAACTTAAGACCTGAAACTATAAAAATTCTAAAAGATAACATTGGAAAAACCCTTCTAGACATTGGTTTAGGCAAGGATGTCATGACCAAGAGCCCAAAAGCACATGCAATAAAAACAAAGCTAAATAGGTGGGACCTAATTAAACTAAAGAGCTTCTTCACGACAAAAGGAACAGTCAGCAGAGTAAACAGACAACCCACAGTGTGGGAGAAAATCTTCACGATCCGTACATCTGACAAAGGACTAATATCCAGAATCTACAATGAACTCAAACAAATCAGTAAGAAATAAACAAACAATCCCATCAAAAAGTGGGCTAAGGAAATGAATAAACAATTCTCAAAAGAAGATATACAAATGGCCAATAAACATGTGAAAAATGCTCAACATTACTAATGATCAGGGAAATGCAAATCAAAACCACAATGCAATACCACCTTAGTCCTGCAAGAATGGTCATAATCAAAAAATCAAAAAACGGTAGATGCCAGTGTGATCGCGGTGAACAGGGAACACTTCTACACTGCTGGTGGGAATGTAAACTAATATAGCCACTATGAAAAAGAGTTTGAAGATTCCTTAAAGAACTAAAAGTAGAACTACCATTTGACCCAGCAATCCTACTACTGGGCATCTACCCAGAGGAAATGAAGTTATTATTCATAAAAGATACTTGCACATGTATGTTTATAGCAGCACAATTCACACTTGCAAAACTGTGGAACCAACCCAGATACCCATCAATCAACAAGTGGATAAAGAAACTATGGTATATATACACAATGGAATACTATGCAGCCATAAAAAGGAATCAATTAACAGCATTTGCAGCAACCTGGATGAGATTGGAGACTATTATTCTAAGTAAAGTAACTCAGGAATGGAAAACCAAACATTGTATGTTCTCGCTGATATGTGGGAGCTAAACTATGAGGACACAAAGGCACAAGAATGATACAATGGACTTTGGGGACTGGGCAAGGGAAGAGTAGGAGGTAGCCAGGGATAAAAGACTACAAATATGGTGCAGTGTATACTACTTGGGTGATGGGTGCAACAGAATCTCACAAATCACCACTAAAGAACTTACTCATGTAACGAAATACCACTTGTACTCCAATAATTTATGGAAAAAAATTAATATACACAAATCTGTAGCTCTGCTATACAAAAACAGTGACCAAGCTGAGAATCAAATCAAGAACTCAACCCCTTTTACAATAGCTGCAACAACAACAACAACAAAAACTTAGGAATACACTTAACCAAGGAGGTGAAAGACCTCTACAATGAAAACTACAAAACACTACTGAAAGAAAACATAGATGACACAAACAAATGGAACTACATCCCATGCTCATGATGGGTAGAATCAGTATTGTGATCATGACCATACTGCCAAAAGCAGTCTACAGATTCAATGCATTTGCCTTTATAATACCACCAGCATTCTTCACAGAATTAGAAAAAACAATTCTAAAATTCCTATGAAACCAAAAAAGAGCCTGCCTAGCCAAAGCAAGACTAAGCAAAATGAACAAATCTAGAGGCATTACATTACACAACTTCAAACTATACTATAAGGCCATACTCTCCAAAACAAAATGGTACTGGTATAAAACTAGGCATATAGATGACTGGAACAGAATAGAGAACCCAGAAATAAAGGCAAATACTTACAGTCAACTGATCTTTGACAAAGCAAAGAAAAACATAAAGTGGGGAAAGGACACTGTATTCAACAAATGGTGCTGGGATAATTGGCAAGCCACATATAGAAGAATGAAACTGGATCCTCATCTCTAACCCTATAGAAAAATCAAGTCAAGATGGATCAAATCAAATACTTAAATCTAAAGCCTGAAACCATAAAATTTCTAGATGGTACATTGCAAAAACCCTTCTAGACATTAGCTTAGGCAAAGACTTCATGACCAAGAACCCAAAAGCAAATGCAACAAAAACAGAGATAAATAGATGGGACTTAACTAAAAAGCTTCTGCACAGCAGAAGAAATAATCAGCAGAGTAAAAAGATATCCTACAGAGGGGGAGAAAATCTTTACAATCTACATCTAACAAAGGACAGAATCCACAAGGAACTCAAACAAATTAGCAAGAACAAAACAAACAATTCCATTAAGAAGTGGGCTAAGGACATGAATAGACAACTCTCAAAAGAAGATATACATATGGCCAACAAACATATTTTAAAAATGTTCAACGTCACTAATGATCAGGGAAATGCAAATCAAAAGCACAATGCAATACTACCTCACTCCTGCAAGAATGGCCATAATCAAAAAATCAAAACACAATAAATGTTGGCATGGATGTGGTAAAATGGGAACACTTTACACTATTGGTGGGAATGTAAACTAGTACAACCACTATGGAAAACAGTGTGGAGATTCCTTAAGGAACTAAAAGTAGATATACCATTTGAAACAGCAATCCCACTCCTGGGTATCTATCGAGAGGAAAAGAAGTAATTATACAAAAAAGATACCTGCACACACATGTTTATAGCAGAACAATTTGCAATTGCAAAAATATGGAACCAGCCAAATGCCTGTCAATTATCAATCAACGAGTGGATAAAGAAAATGGGATATATGGAATACTACTCAGACATAAAAAGGAATGAAATAATGGCATTCACAGCAACATGGATGGAATTGGAGACCATTATTCTAAGTGAAGTAACTCAGAAATGGAAAACCAAACATTATATACTCTCATAAGTGGGAGCTAAACTATGAGGATGCAAAGGCATAAGAATGATACAATGAACTTTGGGGACTCAGAGGAAAGGGTGGGAGTAGGGTGAGGGATAAAGTCTACACATTTGGTGATGGGTGCACCAAAATCTCAGAAATAACCACTAAAGAAATTATTCATGCAACTAAATACCACCTGTTCATTAAACACCAATAGAAATTTCAAAAATAGCATTAACAACATAAAAATAAATTTATTGGTTTTAAAATCAAATGAAATTAATCTGTAAAGAGATGATGACTTACCATCACAAAATATACAGAAAGAATTATTATACAGAAATTAATAATATAATTCTGTATTTTATTAATATACAGAAGTATTTATTGCAATGACTCTATTGCAATAAGTATTTTGTTTCCCAAAGGTAATTTCATTGAATGGGAGACACTCACTTGTATGACTAGTGTGTATCTTGGTTAAAATAAATGTTATGACTGTGTAGTTACACCATTTACATTCCCTTTCAAGACAGAAAAACTGTATACATACATGAAATAGTTAAATAATATTAACCTAAGACCAAATGACAAATTTACAGTAAGGTGAGCATAATTTTGGAAACAGACATAATTGTGGAATGGCATCCTCAAGGAAAATTTATAGAATGGGTAGAATTTGTATTTTGCAGGCATACAAATTTAGGAGAAAAAAATCACAATCAAAACCATTGAAGCAAAGAAGGAGACAGCTTTTTCAGTTAGAACAGACACTTTGGGTGGAAATAGGCAACTCAGTTCAGTTGGAAGTGCAACTCAGAACAGAATTAAGGACCACAGTGTCTGATGTCCCTTAATGCCAAGGTAGACGTTTTGAGATTTTATCTTTTAGGCAGAGGGAAAATTAAACTGAGAAGAGCTGGAATATCATGAAAAAAGCAACTTGGAAGAAATTGGTCAAACAATGACATAAAGGATAGAATTTAGGCAGAAGAGTCTAAAGAAAAAGGATGAATATTATTTTTTTTCTGATAAATGTACCACTGACACATAATTGATAATTAAAGCTAATAGTTTCTTATAGGGAATTCTGATCTGTAGCACTTTAAAAACTTTATTCTCAATGACTGGCTCTCTAGCACTCAGTGTATAACTGGAATGCCTTTTCTAAAATCAGTTATTAAGAGATGCAACTTATTTTTTTAAGATTATACAAACCATAAACATGGTCAATCACTGCCTCAGATGATACATATTTGATTGTAATACACTATAATACTATAATGTACTAGATTCAAATATATGTGACACTGAAGAAAACCACATTAGTTCTCTCTACAGTTAGCATAAGCAATAAACAATCACCTCTTAATAGTGCTAATTTTTGTGGCAAATTATACATAATAAGGATATTTTATTTTAAATATTTTAAGTGTACAGTTTAGTGACATATACACACTGTTTTGCAAATATCACTACCAACCATCTCTACAACATTTTTCATCTGCTCAGATTGAAACTCTGTATTTATTAAACAATAACTGTACATTTTTACCTCTCCGCAGCCACTGGTAACCACTGTTCTACTTTTTGTTTCTATGAATTTGACTATTCTAGTTACCTCATAAAAGTGGAATCATAAATAGTTATTATTTTATGATTGTCATATCTCAATTAGCATAACTCTTCAAGGTTTATGTAATAATATGTGTCAGAATTTCATTTCCTTTTTAAGGCTGAATATCATTATTATAGTAGTTCCGTACATATTCTGGAAATTAGTCCCTTATCATATGTATGATTTGCAAATAGTCTCTCCTGTTTCATAGATTTCCTGGTCACTGTGTTGATAATGTCTTCTGATGCACAAATATTTTTAATTTTGATGAAGTTCAATTTATATATTTTTTCTTGTTGACTGTTCTTTTGGTGTTTTATCCAAGAAATGATTGTCAAATACAAGTTCATCAAGCTTTTTATTTATATTTTATACCTAGAATTTTATAACTGTACCTCTTACCTTCAGGCCTTTGACCCATTAGTTTATTTGTTCTTTATTGAGTAAAGATTCAACTTTATTCTTTTGCATGTGGATATCCAGTTTTCCCATTAGCATGTGTTGAAAAGACTCTCCTTTCCCCATTCAGTGGCCTCAGCACCATTGTCAAAATTTTTTTGACCATATATGTAAGGGTTTATTTCTGGGCTCTGTACTGTGTTCCATTGGTCTTTATGTCTGTCTTTATGCCAGTACCTCACTGTGTTGATTAGTGTAGCTAGTATACTAAACTTCTTAATCAGGGAAGCAGTAAACCTCCAACTTTGTTCATTTTCTAGATTGTTTTTGCTACTTTGGGTCTCTTGAGATTCTATATGGAGTTAGGATGAATTTTTCTATTTCTGCCAAAAATGCCATTGGAGTTTTGATAGAAATTGCATTGAATCTGTAGATCACATTGTGTATTGATATATTTTTTTTAATGACAGGGTCTCCATCTGTCACCAAGGCTGGAATGCAGTGGTGCCATCATGGTTCACTGCATGCTCCCCAAGTTCATGTAATCCTCCTACCTCAGCCTCCTTAGTAGTTGAGGCTACAGGCATGTGCCACCACACTCGGCAAAATTTTTTGTAATTTTTGTAGGCACAAGGTTTTGCCATGTTGCCCTGGCTGATCTCAAATGCCTGGACTCAAGCAATCTGACCACCTCAGCCTCCCAAAGTGCTAGGATTACAGGCGTGAGCCAACACACCCAACTGAGTGTGTTGATATCTTAACAATATTAAGGCTTCCGCTCCATAAGCAAAAGCTATCTTTCCCTTTATTGATGTCTTTCTTAATCTCTTACTTTCCAATTTGCCTGACTTTTATTTCTCTTTTTAGCCTAATTGCTCTGGTTTAAAATTTCTAATTGTCAAATAAAGTGGTAAATGTGGTTCTTGTTCTTACAGGAAATACTTTACATTAAGTATGATAGTAGCTCTTGGTTTTCCATATACTACCTTCATCAGGGTGAGGTAGTTTTCTTTTATTCTTAGTCTGGTGAGGGTTTTTTATAGTTTTGGGTTAAACATTTAAGTCTCCAATCCATTGTATTAGTCTATATTCATGCTGCTGATAAAGACATACCTGAGACTGGGAAGAAAAAGATGTTTAATGGACTCACAGTTCCACGTGGCTGGGGAGGCTTCACAATCATCGTGGAAGCCAAAAGGCACTTCTTACACGGTAGCAGCAAGAGAGAAACAGAGAGCCAAGCAAAATAGGTTTCCTCTTATAAAACCATCAGATCATGAGACGTATTCACTAGCAAAAGAACAGTATGAGGGAAACTGCACTGCACATGTATTCACAGATGTGCTAACTCTAAGCTGGGTTTTCAGTTACTTAGACTATTTATCTTCCTGTCTGTAATTTTCCAAGACAGATTATTGCACATTCACCTGTTATAACTATAGACTGTCACTTTTCGTATGAATTACAGCGCGTTGGAAATTAACAAAATGGCTTTTGCAAACAATATCTTAGGTGAGGCAGGTAGGGAAGGCCCCCATGATTCAATTATCTCCCACCGGGTCCCTCCCACAACATGTAGGAATCATGGAAGCTACAATTCAAGATGAGATTTGAGTGGGGACACAGCCAAACCATATCATTCTACCCCTGACCACTCCCAAATCTCATGTCCTCACATTTCAAAACTACTCATGCCTTCCCAACAGTCCTCCAAACTCTTAACTCATTTCAGCATTAACTCAAAAGTCCACAGTTCAAAGTCTCATCCAAGACAAGGCAAGTCCCTTCTGCCTGTGAGCCTGTAAAATCAAAAGCAAGTTAGTTACTTCCTAGATACAGTGGTGGTACAGGCATTGAGTAAATACATCCATTACAAATGGGAAAAAATGACCAAAGCAAAGGGGCTACAGGCCCCGTGCAAGTCCAAAATCCAGCAGGGCAGTCAAATCTTAAAGCTCCATAACAATCACTTTTGACTCCATGTCCCTCATCCATGTCACACTGATGCAAGAGGTGGGTTCCCATGGTCTTGGGCAGCTCTGGCCCTGTGGCTTTGAAGGGTACAGCCTCCCTCCCAGGTGCTTTCACAGACTGGCATTGAGTGTCTGAGGCTTTTCCAGGTGCACAATGCAAGCTGTCAGTGGATTTACCATTCTAGGACCTGAAGGACAGTGGCCCTATTCTCACAGCTCCACTAGGTGATGCCCCAGTAGAGAATCTGTGTGGGGGCTCTGACCCCACATTTCCCTTCTGCACTGCCCTAGCAGAGGTTCTCTTTGAGGGCCCTATTCCTGCAACAAACTTCTGCCTGGGCATCCAGTCATTTCCATACATTCTCTGAAATCTAGACAGAGGTTCCCAAACCCCAATTATTGACTTATGTGCACTTGCAGGCTCAACACCACATGGAAGTTGCCAGGGCTTGGGGCTTGCACCCTCCAAAGCCACAGCCTGAGTTCTACATTTGCTCCTTTTAGCCACAGCTGGAGCAGCTGTAATTGCAGGGCACCAAGTCCCTAGGCTGCACACAGCATGGGGAAAACATTTTTCCCCCTAGGCCTCCAGGCCTGTGATGGGAGGGGCTGCAATGAAGATCTCTGGCATGCCCTAGAGACATTTTCCCTATTGTCTTGGCAGTTAACATTCAGCTCCTCATTACTTAAGCAAATTTCTGCAGCCGGCTTGAATTTCTCCTCAGAAAAAGAAATTTTCTATCACATTGTCAGGCTGAAAATTTTCTGAACTTTTATGCTCTGCTTCCCTTATAAAACTGAATGCTAATAGCACCTCTTAAATGCTTTGTTGCTTATAAATTTCTTCTACCAGATACCCTAAATAATTTCTCTCAAGTTTAAAGTTGCACAAATTTCTAGGGCAGGGACAAAATGCTGCCAGTCTCTTTGCTAAAACAAAACACGAGTCACCTTTGCTCCAATTCCCAACAAGTTCCTCATTTCCATCTGAGACCACCTCAGCCTGGACTTTATTGTCCACATTTCTATCAGCATTTGGGGCAAAGCCATTCAGCAAGTCTCAAGACTCTAGGAAGTTCCAAACTTTCCCACGTTTTCCTATCTTCTTCTGAGTCTTCCAAACTGTTCCAACCTCTGCCTGTTACCCAGTTCCAAATTCACTTCCACATTTTCAGATATCTTTTCAGCAGTGCCCCACTCTACTGGTACCAATGTACTGTACTAGACCATTTTCACACTGCTGATAAAGACATACCCAAGACTGGGAAGAAAAAGAGGTTTAATGGACTCACAGTTCCATGTGGCCGTGGAGGCCATGGCAGAAGGTGAAAGGCACTTCGTACATGGTGGTGGCAAGAGAGAATCAGAGAGCCAAGCAAAATGAGTTTCCCCTTATAAAACCATCAGAACTTGTGAGACTTATTCACTACCATGAGAACAGTATGGGAAAAACTGCCGCCATGATTCAATTATCTCCTACTGGGTCTTTCCCACAACACGTGGGAATCATGGGAGCTACAATTCAAGATGAGATTTGGGTGTGGACATAGCCAAACCATGTCATCCATTTTCAGTTAATTTTTGTATAAGGTGTAAGGAAGGGTCCAGTTTCAATTTTCTGCATATGGGTAGCCAGTTCTTCCAGTACCATTTATTAAATAGGGAATCTTTTATCCATTGCTTGTTTTTGTCAGCTTTGTCAACACTTCTCAAAAGAATACATACATGAGACCAACAAACATGAAAAAAAGCTCAACATCACTTATCGTTAGATAAATGCAAATCAAAACCACAATGAGATACCATCTCATGCCCATCATAATGGCAATTATTAGAAAGTCAAGAAACAATAGATGCTGGTGAGGTTCTGAAGAAATAGGAATGCTTTTACACTGTTGGTGGGAATGTAAAATTAGTTCAGCCATTGTAGAAGACAGTGTGGCAATTCCTCAAACATTTAGAACCAGAAATACCATTTGACCCAGCAATCTCATTACTGGGTATATACCCAAAGACATATAAGTCATTTTATTATAAAGATACTCACATGCATATGTTCATTACAGCACCATTCATAATAGCAAAGACATATAATTAACCCAAACGCCCATCAATGATACACTGGATAAAGAAAATGTGGTACATATACACCATGGGATACTATGCAGCCATAAAAAGGAATGAAATCATATCCTTCTCATGGCCATGTATGAAGCTGGAAGCCATTATCTTCAGCAAACTAATGCAGGAACAGAAAATTAAACACCTCCTGTTCTCACTTATAAGTGGGAGCTGAACAAGGAGAACACATGGACACAGGGTGGGGAACAGCAAACACTGAGGCTTGTCAGGGGAGTGTGGGGGTCGGGGAGATCATAAGGAAGAATAGCTAATGCATGCTGGGTGTAATACCTAGGTGATGGATTGATAGGTGCAGCAAACCACCGTGGCACAACTTTACCTATGTAACAAACTTGCACATCCTGCACATGTACCCTGGAAATTAATAAAATAAAATAAAATAAAATTTAAAAAAATTAGGCAGTATAAGTACAGTTTTGCAACATGGACCTATTGCAAAGTGGAGAAGTCTGGGCTTTTAGTGTAGCCATCATCTGAATAGTATATATTGAACCAATTAAGTACTTTTTCATTTCTCACCACCCTCCACCTGCCTCACTATTCTGTCTCCAGTGTCTACTACTCCACTTCCTATATCCATGTGTATGCATTATTTACCTCCCACTTATAACTGAGAACATGTGATATTTGACTTCCTGTTTCTGAGTTATTTTGTTTAAGACATGATTATTTAAAACATGATTTTTTATGGCTGAGTAGTATTCCATGGTGTATGTATATGTGTGTGTGTGTGTGTGTGTTTGTGTGTGTATAATAATTTTAATCCAGTCATCCATTGGTGGACATTTAGGTTGATTTCATATATTTGCTATTGTGAATAGTGCTGCACTAAACCTATAAGTGCAGGTATCTTTTGGTGTAATGATGTATTTTCCTTCAGGTAGATACGTAGTAGTGGGATTGCTGCATCAAATGGTAGATATATTTTTAGCTCTTTGAGAAAGCTGCATACTGATTGCCATAAAGATTGTACTTATTTGCATTCCCACCAACAGTGTGTAAGTGTTCCCTTTTCTCTGCATCTTTGCCAACATCTGTTATTATTTGACTTTTTATTAATAGCCATTTTTACTGGTATAAAATGGTATCTCATTGTGGTTTTAATTCACATTTTTCTCATGATTAGTAATGTTGAGCATTTTTGCATATGCTTTTTGGCCATTTATATGTCGTTTTTAAAAATTATCTCTTCATATTACTTGACCACTTTTAATAGGGTTATTTGAGTTTTTCTCATTATGACTGAGATGTTTGAGTTCCTTCTAAATTTCAGATATTAGCCCTTTGCCACATACATACTTTGCAAATATTTTGTCCCATTCTGAAGATTCTCTGTTCACGCTATCGATTCTTTCCATGGCCATGCAGAAGTTTTTTACTTAAGTCCCATTTGTATATTTTTGCCTTCATTGCCTGTGCTTTTGAGGTCTTAGTCAGGAATTTTTTGCCAAGGCCATTTTCTTGTGTTTCTTTGTTGATTTTCTGCCTCAATAATTTGCCTAGTGCTGTCAGTGGGATGTTGAAGTACCCCACTATTATTGCATTGCTTCCTAGCTCTTTTCTTAAGTAATATTTGTTTTATAAATCTGGGTGCCCCAGTATTTGGTGCATATATATTTAGGATTGTTACATCTTTTTGTTGAATTGATTTCTTCATGATTATATTATGACATTACTTGTCTTCTTAAACTGTTGTTTATTTAAAGTTTGCTTGATCAGATGTAAATATAACTACTCTGGCTTGCTTTTGTTTTCCATTTAAATTGAATATTTTTTTCCACCCCATTAACTTAAGTCTCCAAGTGTCTTTATCAATAAGGTGAGTTTCTTGTAAGAAGTGTATGGTCGGATCCTTTTTTTTAATCCATTTTGTCAACCTATTTAATTGGCATATTTAATCCATATACAGTCATGGTTAATATTGACACATGAGGTCTTATTCCTGTCATAATATTAATTGTTATATAGCTACTTTGTAGCCTTATTTGTGTAATTGTTTTATAAGACTTTTGAGTTTTATACTTTCAGATGTTTTTATTATGGCAAGTATTGAACAAATTTTGTATCCATGTTTATAACTTCCTTGAGCATTTCTTGTAAGTTTGGTCTAGTGGTGACAGATTTTCTCAGTGTTTGCTTGCCTGCAAAATACTTTATTTCTTCTTCATTTATGATGCTTATTCTGGCAGTATACCCAAGTCAGGGTTTACAGCTTTTTTCCTTAAATGGCTTGAAAATAAAATCCCAGTCTCTTCTTGCTTGTAAGGCTTCTGCTGAGAAGTCCACTGTTAGTCTGATGGCGTTTCCTTTATAGGTTACTATATGCTTTTCTTTTGCTGATTTTAGGATTTTTTTCCTTCATATTGAACTTAGTCTGATGACTGTATGTCTTGGTGAGATTCTTCTTACAATGTTTCTCTGGAGTTTTTTGAGTTTCTTGTATCAAGATACCTAGATCTCTTCCTGGACTAGGGAAGTTTTCCTTAATTATTTTCTCAAATAGTTTCCCAGACTTTGGGGTTTCTTCTTCTCCCCCAGGAATACCTATAATTTGTAAGTTGGGACATTTTACATAGTTCCATACTTATCAAAATCTTAGCTCACTTTTTAATTCTATTTTTTTTTGTTTTTGTCTGACTGGATAAATTAAAAAGTACTGTCTTCAAGCTCTGAGATTCTTTCTTCTGCTTGGTCTAGTCTATCGTTGAAGATTTCATCTGTATTTTGTAATTCCTTCAATGAATTTTCCTTTTCAGGAGTTTCTTTTTTTTTCTTTTTTTAAAAACTCTATCTCTTTGGCAAATTTATCATTCATATCCTGGATTGGTTTTCTGATTTCTTTGTATTGGTTTTCAGCTTTCTCTTGAATCCTGTTGAGCTTCTTTAAAATCAATATTTTGAATTATTTATCTGAAATTTCATGTATTTCATTTTGGTTAGGAACTATTGCTAAAAAGTTAGTGCAATGCTTTAGGGTTATTATAACGCCCTGTTCTTTTATACTTCCAGAATTGTTCCATTGGTTCCTTCTCATTTGAAAAGAAAAATATCACATCTTCTTATTTTTAAACTTACTTTTATTTGGATGAGACATTTTTTTCCCTTAAGGATGTGAATATAACCTATTTTGAATAAGATCATTCAAGATCAGGCTTTGAGTCTCAGTGTTTTCAGTGGCAAAGACTCTGTATGAATTTTTTTCATTATAGGTAGCCTTAGTGTGGTGATTTTCTGAAGTGCCAGTTGTCATAGCAATATTCTAGGTGTGTGAGCAGGCTCACTGCCTCCATTGGAGCTGGGGTGGCAGAGCTCTCCATAAGCTCATCTGCATTGGTGTCAATGGATTTTGTATTGAGTTGTGCATTTTAACCTACAGGCCAGTACGTGGCACTTGAAGGAGGTAAGAGCCAGTGGTGGTGGTGGTGGTAGCAGATGGGTTTATGCTTTATATTTGCTTATCAGGAGAAGGCCTCTGGTGCTTCAGGCAGTGGGCTGGCCTGTGGAACACCCAGTGGCCTGGGCTTTATCCTCAGCACCATGAAGAGGGTGAAGTTGGGCAGAGCTGGACCAGCTGGGGCCACCCTCAGGTATCCCAGTGGTGGACACAAGCACTAACCCTGACAGAGATGGTGGAGGAGTGATGTAGGCGCTGTATAATTTCCTTGGTTATAAATAGCCTTAGTGTAGTGACTTGCTCAAATGCCAGTTGTAGTATTAATGTACAAGGCAGGTGAGCAGGTTCAGGGCCTCCTAAGCAGCTGGGGTGGTGTGGGTGATGATGGTAGCAGAGGTTGCACAAAGCACTTTTCCTTCCCGAGCACTGTGCACTTATGTCAGCAGTTGTAATGGGCTGTGCAGGTTGACCTCCTGGCCAGTTGAAGGCACTTGCAGGTGACAGGCAGCTGGGGTGGTGGTAGTAAGGTCTGTGCTTGATCTTTACTAACAAGGAGAAGTACTCTAATGTCCCAGGGAATGTGCTGGGTTGTGGAACTCCCAGGGGTTCTGATCCCATGCTTTGCCTATGAGGTGGGTAATGGGGTAAAATTTTGATGGGGCTGCATCAGGCATACCCATAATCAGGCTCCCCAGTAGCAGGTGCAAGTGCTAGCCCTGATGGGTGAAAAAAAGTAGTTCTCAGGCCATTGGGGCAATACTAGAAGGAGTGGAGAAACCTCTGTCATTCCAAACAGCCAGCATAGGAAATGAGGAGTGGCTTGGACTCCAAAATTTAGCAGGCGGCAGTGAGACCTGCCTTGCTTCCTGGGTCACCACCCTGCAGAGCTCCCTCCTGAAGCCTACTACTGGCAGCAAGCTGAAACAAACAGCTAAGTTACAAACAGAACATCTCAGGTTGCAAAACTGTCCCAGGCTGAAGACTTTCCTGGCTGGGACAATAACTGGGGCTCCCAGATGATACCCTTCCTAGCCTGGTCTTGCAAAGGGGAGGTCACCCACCTCCTGCACGCACACTTCAATCCCATACCACTGTCTTCTCTCAGTTCTGGCCATGGGGACTCCTCTCCTGTTTGAGACTAGATCACAAATCTCAGTCTGGAGACTTGCCCAGCTAGTGACTGCTGCCCATGTGGCTTACAGATTTCAGTAGAGACTCCTATAGTTAGGATATTTATTGGCCACCTTCTATTGGAGCCAGGGTCTGGAATGCGTGCAACACACTTCCTGCTGCTACCCCTTCTCAAGGTCTCCCCACTGCTCCCAACATCAGATTCAGCGATTGGTAGTGTCAAGGAGCTCCCCCTTGGCCTAGATTACCCAGCTCCCCAGTGGGAATGTGTATTGTGGAGACACTTTCTCCCCATCTCATGCACTGGGGACTCACTCTCAATTTTCCACCGAACCCACAGCACAGGCTGCTGCCACCAAATTCATCAAAGAATCTGAGGTTTCTTTTGCTTTTATGTTAATCACCTGTGTTCCTTCTTGGATAAAAGTTTTCAGTGTGAATCTCTACGCACTATTTTGCTACTTCCTCGTGAGTGAGGCATGCCAGCAAAGCCCCTAATTTGCCCTCTTTAAAAAAAAATGCCTCTGTCTTCTAAGGTTTTTCTGAGAAATTTATTAGTCATCTCATTGAGAATTCCTTTTATGTGACAAGTTGCTTTACTCTTCTTGCTTACAATACTGTCTCTTTATCTCTGACTTTTGACAGTTTATAATGTGTCTTGATATGGTTTTTCAGCTATTATTTTTTCAAATATTCTTTCTGTTCTTTTCTCTTTTTCTTTTTTTCTTCTGAGATTTTTGAAATGCATATATTTGTCCACTGGATGGTAGCCCATAAGTCCCTTAGGCTCTATTCATATTTCTTTATTCTTTTCTTTCTTTTTTTTTTTTTTTTTTTTTTTTGAGGTGGAGTCTCACTCTGTCGCCCAGGCTGGAGTGCAGTGGTGCAATCTCAGCTCACTGCAACCTCCACCTCCCGGGTTCAAGCAATTCTCTTGCCTCAGCCTCCTGAGTAGCTGGGACTACAGGTGTGCACCACCACACTGGGCTAATTTTTGTTATTTCAGTAGTGATGGAGTTTCACCATATTGGCCAGGCTGGTCTTGAACTCCTGATCTTGTGATCCACCCACCTCGGCCTCCCAAAGTGCTGGGATTACAGGCATGAGCCAACATGCCCGGCCTCATTTTTCTTTATTCTTTTTGCTTCTCAGATGCAATAATTTTAAATGACCTATCTTTAAGTTCACTTATTCTTACTTCTGTTTCTTGAGTCTCTCATTGAATCCCTCTACTGAATTTTTAAATTGTCATTTTATTTTTCAGCTCAAAAATTTTTACGTTTCTTTATTATATTTTTTTTAACTTATTTCCATTATTTCTGTTTTTCTCTTGGCTTTAGCATAAAACAGCTATGTTATTGTCTTGTAAGTAAGATCTTTATATTTCTACAGGAAGATTATCTGGAGACTTAATTTGTTATTTTAAAATTGACTTTGTTTTTATTTTTTTCTGTTTCTTTGTATGCCTTTTGATCTTTTGCTGAAAACTGGGTTTTTGAAAAAACATACACCTTCCCAGTCTTTCAGGACTGGCTTCATGCATTAGACCATCACACATTAGCAGGTCATGTTCTGTGCCTGAGGTCAGCTCAGTATAAAGGCTTGATGTATTCTTGGGCATTTCTAGGGATGCGTGCTTTCCGGATGTGTGTGTGCGCGTATGAGTGTGTGTGTGTGTGTGTGTGTGCACGTGTGTGTATTTGATTCCCCAAATACATGGCCCAAATTCATGGCCCAAATCATGTTTCCTTTTAGAAAAACCCAAAGAATACAGTAGACTTAAACTGTGTTTAAACAACACTGCAGGACATTTTTTTAAAAAGGACAGATTCCACAAAAATTTTAAATTGCCTAGATAATTTATTGATGCCTTCTGTAGACTACAAAAAGTCATAGACAGCACACAACTCATAAAAGTTAGGGTACAAGCCTGACTACCAGAGAATGTACACAGATATTTTAAAAATCCATAATTGTATTCAACAAAGGTAAGTGCAGTTTTTATTTTAAGTAATGGTACCTAGGCATTGAATTCTATTCTTATGCCTGTGAAGGTATTTATGGTTCTACACCTAAAAGCCATATATACTTATAACTTCTTTATAAAACTCTTGATAGTTGGCAAAACTAAATCATATATAACATAAACATATAATATCTGGAATTACTATATTTGGGAAAAAATGTCTTGATCAAAAGTGCTAATGAATTTGTATAAAAATAATTATGGTATCTTAAGATTTCATTGACACTTCAAACTACATTGGAGCCAGGCGCGGTGCCTCACACCTGTAACGCCAACACTCTGGGAGGCCGAGGTGGGTGGATCACTTGAGGCCAGGAGATTGAGACCAGCCTGACCAACATGACAAAACCCCATCTCTAAAAAAATACAAAAATTAGTTGGGCATTGTCGCGCATGCCTGTAATCCCAGGTACTGGGGAGGCTGAGGCATGAGAATCATTTGAGCTTGGGAGGCGGAGATTATGGTGAGCTGAGATCGTGCAACTGCACTCCAACCTGGGCAACAGAATGAGACTCTGTCTTTAAAAAACAAACAAACAAACAAACAAACAAAAAACTGCATCGGAGTGCGAAACTCATGGGAGGGAGAGGTCAAGGAGAAAGATTGATATGGAAAACCCACGTTGTTTTTTACAGAAATGTTAAAAGTTGCCTAAAGGATTTTATCCAAAATAACACAGAACTGTACAAAGATACAGAGTAAATAAGAAGCTGTGAAGGTTTTTTGCTATGAAAATCACATCTGGCTTCACAAAAATTGTACCTGTCAAGAAGTAAATCATGTAAATATATAATCAGAGATACAAATAATTCTGTCTTATAATGGCAATTTTCTTGTAATAAGTCCTAGCAAGATAGTTTTCATTTATTATAGTTTGTGCTTTCTTGTTTCTATTGCGGTTTGGAAGCTTGTTGTTGGGGCTTCGTGGTAAAACTTACGTTGCATTAGCTTGGCTTCCTGTATCTAAATGTATGAAACTATATAAGTTGATTTTATCACAAAAAAGTATACATCTCATAACAAAAAAAGGATGTGGAATATACAACTATTTTAATTAAATAATCATTTTTATTCCCATTATTATAATGCCAGCATTTTCTTAGCTTTATTCTGTGAACCCTTGAAATTGTGGAATTCTGTGTTAAAACTTGAAAAAAATAAATTGGGCTGCATATTCTAGCACCATAGAGTGTTGACAGCAGAACAAGCCTTATTATGGTTTAAAATGTCTATATCAATTTAAATATGTATTTACACAAGCCACTAAAAATATAAACTTAATTTATATTTTCTGATCTAATCTGTGGCACAGACTACAAAATTAAATATTTACATACATATCCTATAAGTAGATGTTTAACCTCATTTTCTGACATAATTACACTCCCAAATTTACTAATTTTTAAAATTCTCATACTCTTAAAATTTTTTTAAAAAGAGAAAAACGAGAACTTTACACATACTAAACAAATGCATAGTATAGTAGTTAAACACATCAGATTAGATGTCAGATAGATCTGAGTTCAAACTTTAAATCTACTGTTTATTAATTATGTGACCTTGACCCAGTTACTTTACATCTCTAAACATCAGTTTCGTCATGTGTAAAGTGGGAATAATAATAGTATCAACCGCGTAGGGTACAAGATAAAATGTGGTAATGCACTTACAACATTGCTTGTCATATGTTAATTACTCAATAGGAGTGACTAAGTGAGTATGGTTGTTTTATTTTAGTATTATTGCTATAATTCGTATTATTTTTATTACTAACATTATCACCTATTATTACGCTATTATTGTCATTTTCCTTGAAAAGGCATTGAGAAAATGACCAGTGCTAAAATATAATTTTCAAAAAGTTAAAATCATGGCATTCACACAAATATAAAATGACACGTTTTATATATGTAACAAAATATCACATGTACCCCATAAATGTGTACAAATATATATCAATTAAAAAATTAAAAAATATAAAATGAACATGTGTTAAACATTTTATGTGATTCATAGATGAAGAAAACAATTATAAGATGTTAAAACAAGTTCAAAAGGGTATTTGAATAAAAGGTACTTAGACAACTTTGAATGCTGAAATAATTTCTCAATAGATGCAAAAGTAGTTGAAATCATATAGAACAATAAAAGTTAATCTTTGGGAGTCAGTATTTCTACATTGTGGAAATCAATTCTATTTCTATCAGGCAAAATGAATTTGTATAGTTATAGAAAAAAATCACAAGGAAACTCAGCTTTTTACAACTTAACTTCCACACACGCAAAGTTGTAAAACAGGCTTGTCAGTAGAAAGTCACTTAAAGGGGCTGGGCGCAGTGGCTCACACCTATAATCCCAGCACTTTGGGAGGCTGAGGCGGGCGGATCACGAGGTCAGGAGATCCAGACCATCCTGGCTAACACGGTGAAACCCCGTCTCTACTAAAAATACAAAAAAATTAGCCGGTCGTGGTGGCGGGCGCCTGTAGTCCCAGCTACTTGGGAGGCTGAGGCAGGAGAATGGCGTGAACCCAGGAGGCGGAGCTTGTAGTGAGCCCAGATCGCGCCACTGCACTCCAGCCTGGGAGACAGAGCGAGACTCCGTCTCAAAAAAAAAAAAAAAAAGCCACTTAAAGGTCCATCCACCCTCTACGGAATCAGATAATCCTCATTTCCATGTCTTGAACAATTTTTCTGATGCTTTTTTTTTTTTTTTGCTAAAACACTTTTGGCATACCCAATTACTTATGATAATAATTCAAATTAAAGTCTTCTAAAACCATCACATTGGTTGGGTCAGGGATCACTATTACTATAATGTTAATGAGAAAATTGAGGCAAATAAATCAAGCAAATGATTCCTAGTTACTCTATGTGGGAAAATAAGACCATGACTCATTCTCTTGACTTCAGGCTCAATTTCATTTCCACTAGAATATACATACTTACATTCAAAGTAAGGGGAGACAGAAAAGCAAAAGAGAAACAAGAAAGAGAAGTAATGCTATTTTAATTTGAATATGCGGTGACTACTTTTGTCTTTTATAACTGCTCCTGTGTATCTTTACAGATGATAACCATATTACCAATTAGTTTTTCTTCAAAAGAGTCAACATTCCCCAAACTCCTCTTCTTAATCAAGCAGTATCCAGATAATAATAATGTTAGCCAGATTTTGAGCATTAGTACTATGCCCATGCAGAAAAGTCTTGGGTCTTTGGATGCAAATTTATGAGGAAATCCTTCTATGAGTTTTGGTTCATGATTCATCTGTGTGTGTACCCTGACTGTCAGCTGAGTGAAGCATCAATTAACAATAGCAATTGTTTTGAAGATTTGGCTTAGCCAGAGCATGCAGCTATGAATTTTCTGGCTCTGACTTTTACCATAACATCTGAATTTAAAGTGATATGCTACATGACACTCAATGATATAGAATTTAAGTTGTCTGAGTTATTGCTGATTTCAGATAATATTTTTAAAATTGTAGATGTGAGAGCAATTTCAGATGGAAACTGAAATCAGATGATTTAGAATATCATTAAAGAGATACAAACAGTGGTCAGAGGGGGTAATACAAATATATCAGTGGAAAGTGATAAATGAAAATCTTCTTTGTAAAATAAATATATTTCATTAGGCTTTTACAAATAGGCCAATATAAAGTCAGGGAGCATTTTTGTGTGTAATTTTATGAGTTTTCTTCATTGTTCACCTTTTAGATTTTAGTGTTATATATTTTTAAAAATAAGCTTCAAAGGTTAGGAAAGAATTTCTAGAAAATATGTTAATATTACTTACTGAATTATTTTTCATTTTGCTTACTAAAGAGGTTTGGGGATAAGGAGTTAACTTCAGATTAAAATAGAAAACAATAAACCTTGACTCCACTGAAGATAAATAAGAACTCTCAGCAGGGAAAAACACAGGATAAGTCTATGACCATTCTATCTGCAAATAGTATTAAAACCAAAGTACTACATTTCATACAGCAAAAATAGAAAGGCAATTATATTCAGGTTTACTTTAAAATATGAGTTCTCATATAAAATGGATCAGGCATCTTATGTATAACTTCGACAAATAAATAATAAAAGAAAAACAAAAGCCCTTCAATCAGACTACTAAATGAGAGGAGACTTTTTTATATAATGCCAGGATCACAATATGTGAAATTTCCTCAAAGTTTATCTGAGCACTGATTAATGAAGTGCATGGTATCTTGGAAAGGGAAACTTTTTCAATATGCTTTGAGAGACACCTAGTGGCTGAAGGTAATTTTGTCACGTACATATCCTTAATATTATCCAATCTACATTTGATATTTGTATAGTGTTTTTAATCCTATGTTTCAGATAGGTATACATTTTAAGAATGTCTGTTATTTTCAGTTGTAACTCTATTGGACTTTTCCTCCCAATTATCTTTCTAAATCCTTTAAGGTATGATCCAAAAGGTGATTCATGGTCAACTGTGGCACCTCTGAGTGTTCCTCGAGATGCTGTTGCTGTGTGCCCTCTTGGAGACAAACTCTACGTGGTTGGAGGATATGACGGACATACTTATTTGAACACAGTTGAGTCATATGATGCACAGAGAAATGAATGGAAAGAGGTATTCGAATTAAAATATTCAAATTACTATATTTCAGGTTTTAAAAAGAAGATATTAAATTATATTTTTGAAATTAGTTGTATTCTCTTCTCTAGGCCCTAACAAGATCTTTTAGTGAAATTTATAGTATGTGCTCTATCTATGCCTTAGAGAATTACAAGTTGATCTAGTTGATATGATATGACATGATAGTTGATAGCAGGACCCATCAACTTATAACCCATCTTATATAAAAGGGGACAGACCATTCTCGTGACTTCATGAAAGCATTCCCTTTAAAGAAAATAAGCGAATCCAATAAAATACTTCAGTAATAAATAAATAAAATAAAGCATTTTACCATGGCCAACTTTTTATGTATATGTTGTGACCTGAGAACCAAAGGGCAGCATCTTCTTCCGCAAATATCTGCCCTTTTTATTGGCTGGCACCTAGGAGACAAGCCTTCAATCTTTACCATATAGAGACTGTGTAGACTGCAATACTCCTAAATTCTTCAGTCAGTCAATAATTTAGTAAACAATAAGGGACCAGAATTAAAACCTCTCAAAAGTGCTGGGCATCTATTAGAACTAATTTCAAAGAGAGTACAAAAAATAGCATTGAAATGGCATCTTTGAGATGTTAAAGGCAAATTTGACCCTTTTGACTGCTTTGCCAGTGATAGCCCTAGATTTATTCTAAAATATTTAATACTTTGTCAATTAAATGATGAGTTAACAAAAAATATAAAGTATGATTAACTCTTTACCATCTCCACAAAAAGGCAAACCTTGTATTTGGTACCTAACTTCATCTTCCTTTCTACTGACTTCATGCTACTCTATATTCTACAGGGTACAGCTATCTATTGCTCTAAATAAATTGGTGCTAATATAATGACAGCTGATAATGAGATTTTAATCTCTCTCCTCCAATAATCTGATTCATTAAGACTCAGAAACCCTCAAATGCTACAATGTAGGTAGCTGCTGTTTTGTCAATGCTTAGGACCAACCAGAAATCGAAGGAAAAAAAATATCATGCAAGGTGTTAGGACAAATACAATAATCAAGATGTTTGACCAGCTTACGGGATTTATTTTTCTGAAGATTGTAGACAAGTAGCTAAGAGTCCTGGATTATATTTTTGGCTGTGTCACTGTTTCATCGTGTGATCTTGAAAAGAGTGAAAGAGAACTAACAGATGGTGGGATTATAACTACTAAGTGCAAATTGTCATTCATTATTTCACTCAATCATCACAAAAACCTTGACGTGTTAGTATAATTTGGTGTAATTTTTCAAGTGAGAATATTATCAGAGAGATGAAATTTACTTAAGATCACCTGATCCTCAAACTCAGGTTTTTACCATTCTAAAGGCTATGTTTTTTCCAGCACACTACACTGTTTTCTAGGCTGCAGATTATCTCATCTTTAGACAAGGTGATGTTAGACCAAATTAAGTAAGGACTTCTTCAACTATATTGAATATAATATTTTATATTATGCTGAAATCAGAGTTCCAACAGTGTTTTGTTTCTTATTTTGTGTTTTAGGAAGTTCCTGTTAACATTGGAAGAGCTGGTGCATGTGTTGTAGTGGTGAAGCTACCCTAAAGCTATCTATCTTTATCAAATGGAATGAAACTAGATAATTTCAAGAAACTGAGTAGGACAAAGGGAGAAAGAAATACATGTTCTTTTTCCTGCAATTAATAATCAGACTGGAAAATTGTTGTATCATTTTAATTTGTAGTTACAATTGCTTTCATTCGTGAAGCCGAAACGTTTTTAAACATGAATTACATATGAATTATTAAGCATATGTGCTTTCGCAGCTGATAATATAAAAGGAAATCCCACAGTCTAGATATAGCCCCATTACTACAAAATGCTAAAATATTTAATGAAAATTGATGGTGGCCACAGTGTGCAGGTTATAAAAGCATTAATACATTTCAAGGTAAGAGCCTTAAAAGTTAAAAACATTTTCAGTTTTTTTTTAAAAAACGTACTCTTATTATCTGGAACATAGAAATATAAAAGGTAACATCTAAAGCTTAGAATAGTGTGATTTTTAGTAAGCCATTATTCTCCTATTCAAATAATATCCCAAAGAGCTAAACAATTCCTTACATTTACCAAGAGGAAAGCTTTTACTGTGTTGAAGCTAAAAAAATAATGGCTCTTTGACAAAACTTGTTATGTTGATCGCGGTATGTCAAAATTTTTACAGGTTTGCTCATCTGCCAGAGCACACATATAAATTTGGTATTTCTTAACATATTATCTTGTTAGATTTGTTACCAGTAAAATATTACTGTAATTTCATATACACAGTCTATACAATGAAATAATGAATATTTATCATATTGATACAAACTGTGACCTCAGCTTCAGAGTGTCAGGGCCTCACTTGTATAGAATGTAATGTTCTCCTCAAACATTTATGTTAACTCTATAAACAAATATCGTTAAGTTAAACAAGTTTTCAAAAACAAAACAATTTTTAAAGTACCTTAAAATTGAGGATGTTACTCAGTGTTAACACATGGGAACACCAAAATATTCAATAAGCCTGGTCAATTCTATAGTTATCTTTTTTGTACCAACACATGCTTTTCTGTTACTGTTATATTATCCAGTAGAAAATGTTAGGATATGTGTGCTATATAAAAAAAAAAAAAGACTTGTTAAGTTTTAAAATAACAAAAATGGCTAGTTGAATAGTATTTTATGTGTAATTCTTCCATTTATTCTGTTTAATTATACAACTAAGATGAAATATTGAAAAACCCTTTGTGAAAGTAACTTTTCAAGTAAATGCACAACTTTAGAATTTCTACAAATAAGTTCTTTTAAACAGTCTTTTTATTGTGGATTGTGAAATCAAAATCTGGAGAAATGCTTATAAAATATACTACTAGCTTTTAAGTTTTAAGAAAGAAGAACGTAAGTTGTACAAAGATATTTGTACTTTGACAAACTGAATTTAAATAAACTTTATTTCCTCTCACTATAGTGTGGCTTTAGAATATATCAAGTACAACCTGAATGGACTTTTTGATTTTACATTTCCTATATCACTAAAATACTTAAACACAAAAATAAAATTCCACTCCTTTATTTCTTCTTACACCTGCCATTGTCTCTAATTCTAAAGAGAGAGCTATAGATTTCTGCAGTTCTAGAGGTGAAGATAGAGACATAGAGAGGCTGTGAAACACACATACAGCCCTGTTAGGTCTTTTGAATTCACACCTTATTGAAATCAGTGTAGAAGTAGAGTTACCTAAACCTTTATCGCCAATGCACAGCTTGGCCTGTTAAGTTAAATGTGGGTGTCAACCAGTGGAAAAGATCAAAGGACCTTTTGCAGCCTAGCTTGCCAATCTTCCAGTAACAACGAGGTGCTACCAATAGGCAGACTGTGTCTAGAGTCATGCATGGACAAGAGGAAAGTGAAAGTTGAATACTCTCTTCTCAATGGCATAGCTGGACTTGATTAAGTATTGACTCATAGAAGAGACATGTATGTTTCCCGGGGCTACCCCTTCATAGCTGCATTTAAAAATGGTGTTCAGGCCACTATGGCTGCTGTGGTTTGAATATTTTTTTCCCTCGAAAACTCATGTTGAAACTTAACTCCTAATGTAGCAGTACTGAGAGGCAGGGCCCTTAAGAGGTGATTGGGCCATGAGGTCTGTGCCCTCCTGAATGGATTAATCCATTCATGGATTAATGGATTATTATGAGTGGGGGACTGGTGACTTTATATGAAAAGGAAGGAAGAGTGACCTAAGCTAGCATGCTCAGGGTGCACCGTATGTCCCCTGGTCATGTGATGCTATGTGTTACCTTGGGACTTACCTGACAGCTCTTACCAACAAGAAGGCCATCCCAGATATGGCCTCTCAACCTCAGACTTCTCAGCCTGCCTAACTGTAAGAAATTAATTCTTTTTCTTTATAAATTACCCAGGTTCTGTTTTAAGCCTCAGAAAATGAACTAAGACAATGCCCTAGATGAGCTGCCAAAATCTGAGCAGATATGAGCCATCAGAATAGAGACCTGCAGAGGCCCAGGGCACTCAAACATAACTGTGCTTGTCTCAGTCAAACTTAATTGGGAAAAGGAGGAGTAAGAGCAGGCCCTTTCTGACATGCTTTAGCAGAGATAACTTATCAGGGCTAGTTTAAACAAATGTGTATAGGAAAGGATGTTATTTATATATTCTTACAAGAGTGTAAGGGCTCACACATTTACTGTACTCAGATCTGAAAGACAATGTTGCTTCTTGATTTTTTTCTATAATCACTATGACCGTGTTCACGATTCCCTACTCTGCAACTCTCAGCATGCATCATGATGATTCTCTAACACTGTCTGTCACCTTCCTGTATTTCCACAGAGCATGCAAGAACTTCTACAAAACTTCTATACCACACAGAAGCTGAAAGAGACTCTGGGGCACTAAATTCAGATCCTTTCTCCACACAGCAATGACATTTATCAATCTGACTCAGGTGTGGCTGTTGCCCCTTTTTGATATGGAGGGAACACTGAAAGACAGTTTCCTTCTGGAGTTCCAAATGCAATATAGAAAAAAAAACCCTGTGACTCTGGATTTTATTTTAAGTTCTCTAACAAGACTCCTACCTTGAGATCTTAGTCTAGGTAAAGAAAAAAAAAAAAAGGTCATGAAACACAAATGTCCTCAACTGTCATCATTCTATGTTTACTTTCTCCCAATCACATCACCTGAGGTAGAAGAGATTTTTCAGTTGCTATTTCTCTTCGTAATGAATTTTCTTTACATCCTGTCCACACTGCTGGAGATACTAAGTCCCAACCTAAATGATGGAAGGAGCATCTCCCCTCTTGTCTGTGGAAGATATCACATGAACTACCTAATTTTCAAGCATGGATCTCCATATTTCAAAGGAAAGTTTTAAAAATGTTTTTAAAACTTCAAATATCTCACCACAGTGAATTATGGGTAAGGTGATAATATGTTTAATTAGCTTGATTTAATCATCCCACACTGTATACATATGCCAAAATATCATTTTGTATGCCATAATATATATGATTTATGAATTATAGTAATATTAATAAAAGTGTTAAAGCTTTTTCTCTCTTGACAATGCTTGCTTTTTAAGATTATGGCCTGCTACAGACTAGGAAAAAGTCCTGCTCATGGTGCTAAGTGTTTAATATTGACACTATCTTTTTTTCTCTCATAATCCTAATCCCCTCCCTTAACACACACACACAGAAACACACACACACACACACACACAGAGCACATGTAAACAATGAGGGAAATGGGTACATATAGCTAAATATGGGGAAGGTTATAAATGGGTAAATATTAAAAAATAAAAGCACATTAGTATTTTTCAGATATTAGCCCCTTGACATAAACATCTATTAAAGATCTACTGTGTTTAGGACCCTAGTGATATACACTAATTAAAACTAAGTTTATGAAATTTGTACCAAATCCAAGCCTATAAAATTTGGATTATATTTTAAGTGATGGAGAATCAGAATTAAATGGCCTCGCCTACACAAAAGCCACCTGAGTTTGCCAAATTTACATTTCATCTAAGGCCATGGAGACCTTCCTTTAAATAGCCCTGTTTCATATGTTAAATTCAGTTTATAGCTGGGTGGTTAAAAAAGCCTAACTTGACCAGAGCTAATTATATCTTACCAGAATGGGAACACATGAATTCTGGCCATCAAATCACAATTAGTCTTATTTTAAAATAAAGCTGAAAGATAATATCATATGGAGATCTTTGAAAGTCATATCTTCACAAAACCACTTAGACTTATTTCAATTTTGTCAAGTCTACATAATGAGATGAGGCTGAAAAGCCAGTCAGGCTGAGCAAGTTCATATGAATTCATAGAACCATCCTGGCTAATCCAATGCATAGTGAGTTGCCCAATTGAGAGAACATCTGAGCCAGTAGACACAGACAATTCTCCTCCTCTAAACTATAATCTCTCACATGAATTTTAGTTTTATTCATTATAGTATCCCCAGTGTCTGTCCAGATTCTAATACAAAATTGGTATTCAGTAAATAATTGTGGAAAAAATGAATGAATAGATTTTTGATGGCGTCAAAGACCGGGTATTTTATGAGAATGGGATTCAAATAACAGCACTGGAAACATGGCCAAATAAGTAAAGGCAGAGGTCTGTCTCTCTGATTCTATCCACAAATATATACACACATTAAAAACACAGAGAGATGAGATAACACAAAATTTAGGTACATAGCTACACTCCATAGAAATAAAGGCAAATCTTTAGATGCTAGAAATCAGAGGGAACTTAGAAAACAATAATAAACTCAGATGGTAATAGAGATCATCTTGGAGTTAATGAACTTAGTTATAACCACCAAGGGCAAAGATTTTAATACCAATGTGTAGACAAGAATCATTAAGGTCTTGAGACTTGGTCTTGAGACATGGTCTTGAGACTTCTCCTAGGTGAAGAAAGCCAGGAACATCCAGAAATGGACACTTTAAATACTTAAAAATTCACTGGGGAGGTAAAGTAGCAGATGACGCACAAATAAGAAGATAATAAACTGGAGGGAAAGCCTGAGTACACTACACAGAGTACAGCACAAAACGTTTAATAATGGGAAATATATAAAAAAAAGAGGAGTAGAAGATAGAACGAGATGGTCACATTTGAGATTCTTCACATTTAAAAGCACATTGATCTTGCAAAACTGACTAAAGTTTATATGGAGAAGCAAAATACCCAAAATAGTCAACACGAAATTAAAGAACAAAATTGGAGGACTGGCACAACCCAACTACAACTTACTATAAAGCTACAGTAATCAAGAGAGTGTGAAATTGGCAAAATAGCGGACAAATAGATCAATGGGACAGAATGGACACCTTATAAATAGACCCACATAAATATAGTTAACTGATCTTTGACCAAGGACCAAAGGCAACACAATGGAAAAAAGATGGGCTTTTCAACAAATGGTGCTGGAAAACGAGACATCCATATTTAAAAAATGAATCTAGACAGACATTACACTCTTCATAAAAATTAATTTAAATTTGATCACAGATCTAAATGTAAAGTGTAAACCTAAAATCTCCTAAAAGATAACATAGGAGAAACTTTAGATCACCTTGGGTTTGGTAATAACTTTTTAGATACAACATTAAAGACATAGTCTATGAAAGAAAGACTTGATAAGTTGAAGTTCATTGAACTCAAAAACTTTGCTGTGTAAAATACACTGTCAAGAGAATGAAAGGAGAAGCCGCAGACTGGGAACAAATATTTGCGAAAGGCGTGTCTGATAAAGGACAGTTATCCAAAATATACATGGAAATCAACAATAATAAAACAAACAACCTGAACAGACACTGTCTTAGCTTGGGCTTCCATACCAAAAATACCATAGATAGGTTAGTTTATAAGCAACAGAAATTTATTTTGTGTTTTAGACTGCCAATTTCTCTTTGTATCTTCACAAAGTGAAGAGCAGAAAGGACATTCTTTCAAGATTCTTAGAAATTTATTAATCCCATTCATGAGGGTTCTGCTCTCATTTAATCCTAATTACCCTCCAAAGGCCTCACCTTCCAATATCATCGTGTTGGGGGTGGGAACAGTCTCAACATAGGAATTTGGAGGGGCACAAACATTCGGTCCATAACATTCACCTCCTTAATCCCCCCAAATCATGTCCTTCTCATATGCAAAATACATTAATCCATTCCAACAGTCCCAAAACTCTTAACTGTTTCCAGAATCAACTCAAAAGCCTAAATTCCCATGTTTCATCTAAATATCTAAATCAGATATGGGTGAGACTCAAGGTATGACTTATTCTTTTTTTTTTGAGACAGAGTCTCGATCTTTCACCCAGGCTGGAGTGCAGTGGCATGATCTCAGCTCACTGCCACCATGCCAGGCTAACTTTTGTACTTTTAGTAGAGACGGGGTTTCAACCATGTTGGCCAGGCTGGTCTTGAGCTCCTGACCTCGTGATTCCCCCACCTCGGCCTCCCAAAGTGCTAGGATTGCAGGCATAAGCCACCATGCCCGGTAAGGTATGACTTATTGTACAGCAAATTTGCCTTCAGCTGTGAACCTATGAAACCAAACATGTTAATTTGCTTATAAAAATATAACAATGGGACAGGCATAGGAGAGAGTCCCATTCTGCTATGGAGAAGTAGGAAAGAAAAACAGGAGTGACAGGTCATAAGTTCAAACTATAAGGGAAACTCCATAAGATTTTAAGGCTCAGGAATAAACCTCTTTGGCTAGATGCTCTGCCCTCCAGGCCCAACAGGGTTGGAGGTACCAACATCAATACACACTGGGGCAGACGTCTAACCTTCTGGATCCACTGGAGCAAGGGTTCCCACCTTTTAGACTCTCTCGCGTGATGGTCCTGTCCCCACAGCTTTGCTTGGCAAGGGTTTGGTTTCTAAGGCCCAATATTTTATGATACTATTTATATTAATGTTCAGAATAGGAAAATCTATAGAGACTTAAAGTAGATTAATGGTTTGCTAGGGCTGGAGATGAGGGCTGGCAGGAAATAGGAAATGAGTGACTATTTAGGTTTATGGGGTTTCTTTTCATGGTAATGAAAATGTTCTAAACTAAGATTGTGGTTATGGTTACACAACTCTATGAATATAATTTTCAAAACATGGATTCTAAAATTTCAGTGGATGAATATTATGCTGTAGGAATTTATATTTAAGTAAAAATATGAAAAAGTAAAAATTGTACCATGTCTCACATTGCAACCCCAAGGATATTTTTTCTTTTCTTTCTTTATTTTTTGTTGTTGTTGTTGTTGTTTTGTTTTGAAACAGGATCTCACTCTGTCACCCAGGCTGGAGTGCAGTGGTGCAATCGTGGCATCATGGCTCACTGCAGGCTCGACCTCCCAGGCTCAAGAAATCCTTCTGCATCTGCCTCCCAAGCAGCTGGAACTATAGGCGTGGCACCACCATGCCCAGATAATTGTTTTATTTTTATCTTTTGTGGAGATGGGGTCCCACATCTAGACCAGTCCCAGGCTGGTCTAGAACTCTTGGGCTCTGGTAATCCACCCGCCTTAGCCTCCCAAAGTGCTGGGATTACAGGCATGAGCCACTGTGTCTGGCCCAGATGTTCTTTTTCTAATTTTTCTGGGAGTCTTAGGCCAAATCCTTAAATGCTAACTTTTTTTTCTCATTAGCCGGACTTGTTAACTCAGACATCTATGCCAAACATGCTCCAATTTTGTTAGAAGGAAGATACACTTTTTTGCTTTTGCTTGTATAATAGTGTAATGAATTGACATATTATCTGGGGTGTTCTTTATTTCTCTGAATTTATTCTTATCCTGTAACCATCTCTAATCTGGCCCATTATAGCCCTACTCAGGAGTTGTAAGACTAAAATCTTACATCATAAATTCAAAGATCACTAATTATGGTATAAGAAAAAAATATTTAACAGGAGGGTGTGTTAAGTCAGAAGATTTTTCCTGGTTCCCCACTAAGACTGGATAAAGATACCACGGGCTTGGAGGGAAAGACTCTTGGGCAGAAAGTTGATAATAAAGCAAGAAAGACATGAGTGAATGTTGGGTGTGTGGAGACGTTTGCCATGTACCCACTTTCTTCAACTCACTCCTAGGAGCAAATAGAAGCCCCAGATAGGGCTAAGGATCCCAGAAGAGGGAATATGTACACCACCTTCTTTTCAAAGATGATACCTGCAAAGATAGCAAGTTTCAATACCATGAAGTAGTTGTAAATCAGAAATAACTATGTAGTATGTCTAGGTCCAAAAGGGCTGAAGATAACCTGTGTCTGCCATGACCATAAATCGGGTACATAAGTGTTCATGAGTTCATGGATTACTAAAAGAGGCATGGAAACTACCAATGGACCTGCAGGATGGTCTTGTGGAGGTAAAAATTATGTGGCTAATGCAGAGGATATGGAAGGAAACATAAAGTTGGCAAGCAGATGAGGAGGCCTTTACCTTTCTGTAGATGTCATGACAGAAACAGAGCACACTGAATAACCAGATAGAATAGGTTGTTTGTTAAAACAGATAAGACACTATGATTCCACTTTTGTGAATTTTTAAAACTCACCATATGTGTATGTAAAAGTAGAAAACAATTGACTTGAAGGATGCACATTACCCTCATGGTAGTGGTTGGCTCTTTTACAAAAGAAAGACTTAAAAAAGTATGGCAAAATGTTAACACATACATAGTGGTGTAAGTTTTTAATATCTAGTAGTCTATTTTCTGAGGAATAAGTTAGACAAAACCTATAAATCTTAACAGAAAAAAATAACTAAATTTTTTGTCATGAATTGAAAAATCACAAATAAGTAATTGCACGTGTGTAGTAGGTACAATTCTTATTCCATAAAGTCACATTATATTTCTTTATTTTCTAAAAGGTAGATAAATTTCTACTCGGAGTAAATAAAATTATACTCTCAAGTTTCTAGTTTCCCTGTATACAATCCTTAACCATCCCCTCTGAGGTTTAGCCACCTCTGTCATTCCTCTCTGATGGAGCAAATTCAGGTGGCAGTACCTCTGTACCTCTTGTAGTTTGGGATGCAAGGTTGGTTCAACATACACAAATCAATAAATGTGCTTTATCACATAAACAGAACTAAAGACAAAAACCACTTAATTATCTCAATAGATGCAGAAAAAGCTTTTGATAAAAATCGACACTGCTTCATGTTAAAAACTCTCAAAAAAACTAGGTATTTAAAAAACATACCTCAAAATAACAAGAGCCATCTATGAAAAACCCACAGCCAACATCATGCTGAATAGGCAAAAGCTGGAATCATTCCCCTTGAAAACCAGCACAAGATAAGGATGCCCTCTCTCACCACTTCTATTCAACATAGTATATTGGAAGTCCTGTCAAGGGCAATCAGGCAAGAGAAATAAATAAAAGGCATGCAAACAGAATGAGAGGAAGTCAAACTATCCCAGTTTACAAATGACAGGATCCTGTATCTAGAGAACCCCTTAGTCTCAGCTCAAAAGCTTCTTAAGCTGATAAACAACTTCAGCAAGTCTCAGGATACAAAATCAATGTGCAAAAATCGCTAGCATTCCTATACACCAACAACACTAAGCCAAGAGCCAAAGCAGGAATGAACTTCCATTCACAATTGCCAAAAAAAGAGAATAAAGTATGTAGGAATACAGCTAACTAGGAAGGTGAAAGATCTCTACAAGGAGATCTACAAAACACAGCTCAAAGAAATCAAAGATGAAACAAACAAACGGAAAAGCACTCCATGCTCATAGACATGAAAAATCAGTATCATAGAAAAAACTATTTTAAAATTCATATGGAACAAAATAAGAGCCTAAATATTGTTAGGAATAATGCTCAAAATCCTAAGGAAATTGAACACTCGAACAAAGGATTCTTAGCAAAGCAATTTTACTTCTGCGCAAAGGGGTGCCTTCTTGGCCAGTCGCCATGAGAGCACACTTGAACAAGGGGCATGAGAGCCTTTATTCCTGGCGCAAGTCCTGCCCCAGTACACTTTCCCCATTGGCCGGGATTGGGTCTTACAATCTAAACTAATCCCGGTTGGCTAAACATTTGAATGTTTTTAGATAAGGTGGGCACATAAAAGAAAGAGAGAGAAAGGGGAAGGGGTGTCTGTAGTGAGCTAGAAAGTTAGTCTTCTTTCCAAGTAAGGAAAGGAATGTGAGCTGGTACTGATAACGCCTGGTACTGTGGCATGCCTGGGCATCTAATAAAGGCAGAAAGGAAAAAGGAGAAAAAGGGGGGGAAAATAGGGGGGATACCATGAATTAAAAGATTGATCAGGCTATTTGAAGAGAAACCTCATCATATCCCACAAAATCCAAGGTAATTCTAAGCAAAAAGAACAAAGCTGGAGGCATCACACTACCAGACTTCAAACTATACTACTGGGCTACAGTAACCAAAATAGTATGGTAGTGGTACAAAACAGACACATAGACCAATGGAACAGAATAGAGAACCCAGAAATAAGGCTGCACACCTACAACTATCTGATCTTCAACAACCTGACAAACACAAGCAATGGGGAAAAAATTGCCTGTTCAATAAACAGTGCTTGGATAACTGGCTAGCCATATGCAGAAGATTGAAACTAGACCCCTTTCTTACACCATAAACAAAAATTAACTCAAGATGGTTTAAAGACTTAAATGTTTTATTAGTCAGGGTTCTCTAAAGGGACAGAACAAATATGATGTGTGTGTGTATGAAGGGGAGTTTATTAGGAGAACTGACTCACACGATCATAAGGTGAAGTCCCACAATAGGTCACCTGCAGGCTGAGGAGCAAGGAAACCAGTCCAAGTCCCAAAACCTTAAAAGTAAGGAAGCCAACGGTGTGGCCTTCAGTCTGTGGCCAAAGGCCCAAGAGCCCCTGGCAAACCGCTGGTGTTAAGTCCAAGAGTCCAAAGGCTGAAGTACTTGGAGTCTGTTGTTTGAGAGCAGGAAGTATCCAGCACGGGAGAAAGATGAAGACTGGAAGAATCAGCAAGTCTCTTCATTCCACTTTTGTTCTGCCCACTTTATTCTAGCCACTCTGGCAGCTGATTAGATGGTGCCCACCCAGATTGAGGGTGGGTCTGCCTCTCCCAGTCCACTGACTTAAATGTTAATCTCCTTTGGCAACACTATCACAGACACACCCAGGAACAATACTTTGCATTCTTCAGTCCAATCAAGTTGACACTCAGTATTAACCATCACAAATGTAAAATCCAAAACTATAAAAACCCTGGAAGATAACCTAGGTAATACCATTCTGGACATAGGAACAGGCAAATATTTTATGACGAAGACTCTAAAAGCAGTTACAACAAAAACAAAACATGACAAATAGGACCTCATTAAGCTAAAGAGTTATGCACAGAAAAAGAAACCATCAACAGAGTAAAAAGACAAGCTACAGAATGGGAGTAAGTATTCACTAATTATGCATACAACAGAGGTCTTATATCCAGCATCTATTAGGAACTTAAATAAATTTACAAGAAAGAAACAAACAACCCCATTAAAAAGGGGTCAAAGGACATAAACATACATTTTTCAAAAGAAAATATACAGGTAGCCAACAATCATATGAAAAAAGCTCAACATCATTGATCATCAGAGAAATGCAAATCAAAACCACAATGAGATGCCATCTCACATCATTCAGAATGGCTATTATAAAAAGTCAAAAAATAACAGATGCTGGCAAGGTTGCAAAGAAAAAGAAATGCGTATACACTTTTGTTGGGAGTGTAAATTAGTTCAGCCATTGTGGAAAGCAGTGTGACAACTCCTCAAAGGGCTAAGAACTACCGCTTGACACAGCAATCCCATTACTGTGTATATACTCCAAAGAAAAAGAATCGTTCTATTATAAAGACACATACACATGCATGTTCATTGCAGAACTATTCACGATAGCGAAGACGTGGAATCAGCCTAAGTGCCCATCAGTGACAAACTGGATAAAGAAAATGTGGTACATATACCGACGCAGCCATGAAATGAACAAGATCATGTCCTTTTCAGGGACATTAATGGAGCTGGAGGCTATTATCCTTAGCAAACTAATTCAGGAACAGAAAACCAAATACTACATGTTCTCACTTATAAGTAGGAGGTAAACAACAAATCTCCATGACACAAAGTTGATCCATATAACAAACCTGCACATGTACCCCAAACTTAAAACAAAAGTTAAATTTTTAAAAATTGCAATCAAGTTTCTAACACATGAACTTTGTAGGTTACATTCAAACCATAGCATTCCACCCCTGGCTCCCAAAATACATGTCCTTCTCATATACAAAGTATACTCATTCCATCCCAACAAGTCCAAAATACTTTTTAAAAGCACCAACTCAAAAGTCTAAAGTTTCAGAATAATCTCATTTGAATCCATGCCAAGCACCCTGGTCACACTGGGAGTGCTGGGCACTTGAAGCCTTGGGCAGCCCTGCCCTTATTGTTTTTCTGAGCTCGGTCCACCCATAAACTTTCAAAACTTGGAGTCTCATGCCTGCAGCTTTCCCAGGCTGGAGGACTGGAGTTGCACACAGGTGGTGCTACAATTCTGGGGTCTTTGGGATGGCCCATTCCCATGACTTCCCTAGTCCATGATAGTAGGGGCTCTCTGCAGTGGTCTTTGCCCCTGTAACATGTATGCTGCAGAGAGTAAGGGATCTTTGCAGCAACTACACCCCTACGACAAGTCTTTTCCTGGGCCCCCTGACCCCCCAGGCTATCTGCAAAATCCTTTGAAATCTTGGTGGAGATAGCCATGCCCTAACAGCTCTTGCATTCTGCAAGACTGTAGAATTACTATCTAGAATTACAGAGATGCTCTGGGGGAGAAAACAGTATAGTATAGTATGTGCAAGTAATTCAAAGAATCTGGTCTATTAGCCACTAGAAGATGACATTGTAACAATATTTACAGTCATTAGGATAGGCCAAACAAGGCTATGTTTTCTGGTTTTTTGTTTTGAGATGGAGTCTCGCTCTGTCACCCAGGCTGGAGTGCAGTGGCGCAATCTCAGCTGGCTGTAACCTCCATCTCTAGGGTTCAAATGATTCTCCTGCCTCAGCCTCCTGAGTAGCTGGGATTACAGGTGCATGCCACCATGCCCAGCTAATTTTTGTATGTTTAGTAGAGATGGGAGTTTGCCATGTTGGCCAGACTGCTCTTGAACTCCTGACCTCATGTGATCAGGCAGAGCCTTGGCTTCCCAAAGTGTTGGGGCTGCAGGCGTAGGCCAGCACGCCTGGCCCAAGGCTATGTTAATTAAAAAAAAAAAAAAGTTAAAACCTAGCTGGCTTACAATATTAGATATTTACTTCTCACTCATGTAGAGTCGAATGAGTGAGAGGCTGCTAAGGATTACTGCTTGTGTCTTCCAGAGAAGTAGTTTAGCCACACCTGAGCCCATTTAAGACACAGCTTGGGTAGCCAAGGAACACTGTACTGGAATGTAAGGAGCAGAGTCCCAAGGTGGCTCTGGGCAGTGAACCTGTGGAGGATGCTCCAGGCCCATCCTCCCAAACCATTCTTTTGTTCTAGAACTTTGGGCCTGTGATGGGAGGAGAAGCATCAAAGATCTTTGAAATGCCTTTAGGATCTTTCTCCCATTGTTTTGCTAAATAACACCTGGCTTCTTTCTATTCATGTTAATCTCTTTAGCAAAGGGTTTGGTTCCTTGTCCACACCCTGAATATTCTCTTTCAAATATACTTTTTCACTTTTTACTTGACCAGGCTGTGAATTTTCCAAATCTTTCTGCTCTGCTTCCTACTTAATTATAAATGACATCTTTAAGTTATTCCTTTTGTCTCACATCTCACTGTATGTGGTTAAAAGTAGTCACATAGCTGCCTTAATGCTTCACTGCTTATATATTTCTTCTGGCAGATATTCTAGTTCATGGTTACATTTTGTATTCCATAAAGTCCTAGGACATGAATACAATTCAACCAAAGTCTTTGCTACTATATAACAAGGATGGCCTTTACTTTAGTTTCCAATACTTTGTTCCTCATTTTCATATGATACCTCTTTAGAATGGCCTTTATTATCTATATTTCTACCAGATTTCCGGTCAAAATCACTTAAGTAATCTCTAAGAAGTTCCAGACTTTCCCTACACCTCCCCTCTTCTTCTGAACCCTAACTAAAATTGCCTTTAATGCTTCATTCATGGTAATGAGAGGAGGTGCCAGCTGGGCCTCCTGGGTGGAGTAGCGGCTCAGAAAGCTGTGAAACTCACTCATTTCCTGGATCAGGGCTTACTTTGGTCCTGGATGAATACTATTGAAGATATATGCTTAAAATATTCCTAACATCAGAATTTGTGCATGTGTTTTCTTCCCCAAGAAAGCTATAAACAGCGAAACTTTTGCTGTAAGCTTCCCTGTGTCCTCTCTCCCTCTCTCCCTTCCCCATCCCCTGAAACTAAAAGAAATGTTAAAAGCCCGTTTTTCTGTGACCAGCAGACCTTATCTATGCTCCCAATTCCAGTTCCTTGTAACACAATTTGTAAAATCCTGTGAGATCCTGTCTCCTTTGCCATGCCGCTGCAAGGTTATAAAGTAGATAAAACTTAAGTTGCAATTCCGGTTTTCCTCAAGATCTGAGACATGTTAATTGTCTTTGTTTCTCGCTCTGGTAACATCTTCCCACTGCAGGTAGTTCCCGCCTCAAAGAGTTGAAAAGGTGATCGAAAAATCTAACACTGGCTACCCGCTCGGGACCCCTTCCATGCTGTGGGAGCTTTGTACTGTCACTCTGCTCAATAAAACTACAGCTTTTTTCTCTTGGTCCAATCCGTGTCTGTCTCTCACCGCGGGCTGCCGCCACATATCTTTGGCGTGGCTAAGGCAAGAACCTTTGGAGTTATAGTAATACAGATTTTTTCTTGACTACTTCTCCAAATTCTTCCAAAATCTCCCCATTATCCAATTTGAAAGTCACTTCCACATTTTCAGGTATTTGTTATAGCAACAGCCCCACTTTTGAGTACTAATTTTATGTCTTAGTACATTTTCTGCTGCCAGAATAGAATACCAGAGACTAGGTAATTTATAAAGAACAGAAGTTTATTTGGATCACAGTACAGGAGGTAGAGAAGTTCAAAAGCACGGCACCAACATCGGGCAAAGGTCACTGTCAGGCCTCTGAGCCCAAGCCAAGCCATTGCATCCCCTGTGACTGCACATATATGCCCAGATGGCCTGAAGTAACTGAAGAATCACAAAAGAAGTGAATATGCCCTGCCCCACCTTAACTGATGACATTCCACCACAAAAGAAGTGTAAATGGCCGGTCCTTGCCTTAAGTGATGACATTACCTTGTAAAAGTCCTTTTCCTGGCTCATCCTGGCTCAAAAAGCACCCCCACTGAGTACCTTGCGACCCCCACTCCTGCCCGCCAGAGAACAAACCCCCTTTGACTGTAATTTTCCTTTACCTACCCAAATCCTAAAAAACGGCCCCACCCTTATCTCCCTTCGCTGACTCTCTTTTCGGACTCAGCCCACCTGCACCCAGGTGAAATAAAGAGCTTTATTGCTCACACAAAGCCTGTTTGGTGGTCTCTTCACATGGATGCGCATGAAATTTGGTGCCGTGACTCGGATAGGGGGACCTCCCTTGGGAGATAAATCCCCCATCCTCCTGCTCTCTGCTCCATGAGAAAGATCCATCTATGACCTCAGGTCCTCAGACCGACCAGCCCAAGAAACATCTCATCAATTTCAAATCCGGTAAGCGACCTCTTTTTACTCTCTTCTCCTACCTCCCTCACTATCCCTCAAGCTCTTTCTCCTTTCAATCTTGCACCACACTTCAATCTCTCCCTTCTCTTAATTTCAATTCCTTTCATTTTCTGATAGTGACAAAGGAGACACGTTTTATCCATGGACCCGGAACTCTGGCGCCGGTCACGGACTGGGAAGGCAGCCTTCCCTTGGTGTTTAATCATTGCAGGGACGCCTCTCTGATTATACACCCATGTTTCAAGGGTGTCAGACCACACAGGGATGCCTGCCTTGGTCCTTCACCCTTAGCGGCAAGTCCCGCTTTTCTGGGGAAGGGGCAAGTACCCCAACCCCTTCTCTCCTTGTCTCTACCCCTTCTCTGCTTTTCCAGGGACAGGGCGAGTACCCCAACCCCTTCTCTCCTTGTCTCTACCCCTTCTCTGCTTTTCCAGGAACAGGGTGAGTACCCCAACCCCTTCTCTCCTTGTCTCTACCCCTTCTCTGCTTTTCTGGGAGAGGGGCAAGTAACCATCAACCCCTTCTCCTTCACCCTTAGCAGCAAGTCCTGCTTTTCTGGGGGAGGGGCAAGTACCCCAACCTCATATCTCTGTGCCCCAATCCCTTATTTCTGCACCCCAACCTCTTATATCTCTGTGCCCCAATCCCTTATTTCTGCGCCCCAACCTCGTATCTCTGCACTCCAATCCCTTATTTCCATGCCCCAACCTCGTATCTCTGTGCCCCAATCCCTTATTTCCATGCCCCAACCTCTTATCTCTGCACCCCAACCCCTTTTCTGGAAGGTAAGAACCCCCAAACCCCTTCCCTCCATTTCTCTACTCTCTCTTTTCTCTAGGCTTGCTTCCTTCACTATGGGAAACTTCCACCCTCCATTCCTCAGTCTACTCCCTTGGCCTGTGTTCTCAAAAACTTAAAACCTCTTCAACTCACACCTGACCTAAAACCTAAATGCCTTATTTTCTTCTGCAATGCTGCTTGACCCCAATACAAACTCGACAGTAGTTCCAAATAGCCAGAAAATGGCACTTTGAATTTTTCCATCCTGCAAGATCTAAATAATTCTTGTCGTAAAATAGGCAAACGGTCTGAGGTGCCTGATGTCCAGGCATTCTTTTACACATCAGTCCCTTCCTAGTCTCTGTGCCCAGTGCAACTCGTCCCAAATCTTCCTTCTTTCCCTCCCGCCTCTCCCCTCAGTACCAACCCCAAGCGTCGCTGAGTCTTTCTAATCTTCCTTTTCTACAGACCCATCTGACCTCTGCCTTCCTCCCCAGGCTTCTCCTCTCCAGGCCGAGCTAGGTCCCAATTCTTCCTCAGCCTCTGCTCCTCCACCCTATAATCTTTTTATCACCTCCCCTCCTCACACCTTGCCGGCTTACAGTTTCGTTCCCTGACTAGCCCTCCCCAACCTGCCCAGCAATTGACTCTTAAAAAGGTGGCTGGAGCCAAAGGCATAGTCAAGGTTAATGCTCCTTTTTCTTTATCCCAAATCAGAAGCATTTAGGCTCTTTTTTATCAAATATAAAAACCCAGCCCAGTTCATGGCTCGTTCGGCAGCAACCCTGAGACACTTTACAGCCCTAGACCCTAAAAGGTCAAAAGGCCATCTTATTCTCAATATACACTTTATTACCCGATCTGCTCCCGACATTAAATAAAACTCCAAAAATTGGAATCTGGCCCTCAAACCCCACAACAGGATTTAATTAACCTCACCTTCAAGGTGTACAATAACAGAAAAAAGTTGCAATTCCTTGCCTCCACTGTGAGACAAACCCCAGCCACGTCTCCAGCACACAAGAACTTCCAAACGCCTGAACCGCAGCAGCCAGGCCTTCCTCCAGAACCTCCTCCCTCAGGAGCTTGCTACACGTGCCGGAAATCTGGCCACTGGGCCAAGGAATGCCCACAGCCCGGGATTCCTCCTAAGCCGCGTCCCATCTGTGTGGGACCCCAGTGAAAATCGGACTGTTCAACTCACCTGACAGCCACTCCCAGAGCTCCTGGAACTCTGGCCCAGGGCTCTCTGACTGACTCCTTCCCAGATCTTCTCGGCTTAGCGGCTGAAGACTGACACTGCCCGATCACCTCGGAAGCCCCCTAGACCATCACAGACTCCGAGTTTCCGGTAACTCTCACAGTGGAAGGTAAGCCCGTCCCCTTCTTAATCAATACGGAGGCTACCCACTCCACATTACCTTCTTTTCAAGGGCCTGTTTCCCTTGCCTCTATAACTGTTGTGGGTATTGACGGCCAGCCTTCTAAACCTCTTAAAACTCCCCAACTCTGGTGCCAACTTAGACAATACTCTTTTAAGCACTCCTTTTTAGTTATCCCCACCTGCCCAGTTCCCTTATTAGGCTGAGACACTTTAACTAAATCATCTGCTTTCCTGACTATTCCTGGACTACAGCTATATCTCATTGCTGCCCTTCTTCCCAATCCAAAGCCTCCTTTGCATCCTCCTCTTGTATCCCCCAACCTTAACCCACAAGTATAAGATACCTCTACTCCCTCCTTGGCGACCGATCATGCACCCCTTACCATCTCATTAAAACCTAATCACCCTTACCCCACTCAGTGCCAATATCCCATCCCGCAGCACGCTTTAAAAAGATTAAAGCCTGTTATCACTTGCCTGCTACAGCATGGCCTTTTAAAGCCTATAAACTCTCCTTACAATTCCCCCATTTTACCTGTCCTAAAACCAGACAAGCCTTACAAGTTAGTTCAGGATCTGCGCCTTATCAACCAAATTGTTTTGCCTATCCACCCCGTGCTGCCAAACCCATATACTCTCCTATCCTCAATACCTGCCTCTATAACCCATTATTCTGTTCTAGATCTCAAACATGCTTTCTTTACTATTCCTTTGCACCCTTAATCCCAGCCTCTCTTCACTTTCAGTTGGACTGACCCTGACACCCATCAAGCTCAGCAAATTACCTAGGCTGTACTGCTGCAAAGCTTCACAGACAGCCCCCATTACTTCAATCAAGCCCAAATTTCTTCCTCATCTGTTACCTATCTTGGCATAATTCTCATAAAAACACACGTGCTCTCCCTGTCAATCATGTCCGACTGATCTCTCAAACCCCAGCACCTTCTACAAAACAACAACTCCTTTCCTTCCTAGGCATGGTTAGTGCGGTCAGAATTCTTACACAAGAGCCAGGACCACACCCTGTAGCCTTTCTGTCCAAACAACTTGACCTTACTGTTTTAGCCTAGCCCTCATGTCTGCGTGCAGCGGCTGCCACTGCATTAATACCTTTAGAGGCCCTCAAAATCACAAACTATGCTCAACTCACTCTCTACAGTTCTCATAACTTCCAAAATCTATTTTCTTCCTCATACCTGACGCATATACTTTCTGCTTCCTGGCTCCTTCAGCTATACTCACTCTTCGTTGAGTCTCCCACAATTACCGTTGTTCCTGGCCCAGACTTCAATCCGGCCTCCCACATTATTCCTGATACCACACCTGACCCCCATGACTGTATCTCTCTGATCCACCTGACATTCACCCCATTTCCCCAAATTTCCTTCTTTCCTGTTCCTCACCCTGATCACGCTTGATTTATTGATGGCGGTTCCACCAGGCCTAATCACCACACACCAACAAAGGCAGGTTATGCTGTAGTACAAGCCACTAGCCCGCCTCTTAGAACCTCTCATTTCCTTTCCATCATGGAAATCTATCCTCAAGGAAATAACTTCTCAGTGTTCCATCTGCTATTCTACTACTCCTCAGGGATTATTCAGGCCCCCTCCCTTCCCTACACATCAAGCTCCAGGATTTGCCCCACCCAGGACTGGCAAATTAGCTTTACTCAACATGCCCTGAGTCAGATAACTAAAATACCTCTTAGTCTAGGTAGATACTTTCACTGGATAGGTAGAGGCCTTTCCTACAGGGTCTGAGAAGGCCACCACAGTCATTTCTTCCCTTCTGTCAGACATAATTCCTCAGTTTAGCCTTCCCACCTCAATACAGTCTGATAACAGACGAGCCTTTATTAGTCAAATCAGCCAAGCAGTTTTTCAGGCTCTTAGTATTCAGGGAAACCTTTATATCCCTTACGGTCCTCCATCTTCAAGAAAAGTAGAATGGACTAAAGGTCTCTTAAAAACACACCTCACCAAGCTCAGCCACCAACTTAAAAGGACTGGACAATACTTTTACCACTTTCCCTTCTCAGAATTCAGGCCTGTCCTCGGAATGCTACAGGGTACAGCCCATTTAAGCTCCTGTATAGACGCTCCTTTTTATTAGGCCCCAGTCTCATTCCAGACACCAGACCAACTTAGACTGTGTCCCCAAAAAAACTTGTCATCCCTACTATCTTCTGTCTAGTCATACTCCTATTCACCGTTCTCAACTACTCATACATGCCCTGCTCTTGTTTACACTGCCGGTTTACACTGTTTTTCCAAAACATCACAGCTGATATCTCCTGGTGCTATCCCCAGACTGCCGCTCTTAACTCTTGAAGTAAATAAATAATCTTTGCTGGCAGGACTATGCTGAATCTGCTTAAGCACTCTCTAATCAGATATCCTGAGTCGTCCCAATTCTTAGACATTTTATACCTGTTTTTCTCCTTTTGTTATTCCATTTAGTTTTTCAATTCATACAAAACTGTATCCAGGCCATCACCAATCATTCTATATGACAAATGATTCTTCTAACATCCCCACAATATCACCCCTTACCACAAGACCTCCCTTCAGCTTAATCTCTCCCACTCTAGGTTCCCACACTGCCCCTAATCCCGCTTGAAGCAGCCCTGAGAAACATCGCCCATTCTCTCTCCATACCACCCCCCAAAAATTTTCGCCGCCCCAACACTTCAACACTGTTTTGTTTTATTTTTCTTATTAATATAAGAAGGCAGGAATGTCAGGCCTCTGAGCCCAAGCCAAGCCATCGCATCCCCTGTGACTTGCACGTATATGCCCAGATGGCCTGAAGTAACTGAAGAATCACAAAAGAAGTGAATATGCCCTGCCCCACCTTAACTGATGACATTCCACCACAAAAGAAGTGTAAATGGCCAGTCCGTGCCTTAAGTGATGACATTACCTTGTGAAAGTCCTTTTCCTGGCTCATCCTGGCTCAAAAAGCACCCCCACTGAGCACCTTGCGACCCCCACTCCTGCCCGCCAGAGAACAAACCCCCTTTGACTGTAATTTTCCTTTACCTACCCAAATCCTATAAAACGGCCCCACCCTTATCTCCCTTCGCTGACTCTCTTTTCGGACTCAGCCCGCCTGCACCAAGGTGAAATAAACAGCCATGTTGCTCAAACAAAGCCTGTTTGGTGGTCTCTTCACATGGACGTGCATGAAAGTCACCACATAGGGGAAAGGTGGAAAGTGGAAGTGAGCTCATGAGACGAGAGAGAAAATCTGGCTGAACTCATCTTTTTTTATTAGGAACTCACTCCCACAGTAATTAACTGACTCCCAAGATAAAGACATTTATCCATTCCCCTCATGGCCTAATCATCCCTTAAAAGCATCACTTCTTAATATTGTTACAATAGCAATTCAGCTTCCAACACATGAATTCTAGGGAACATATTCACAATATAGTAGAACCAGTCACGTGACAACCATCAATAACTGGAAAGAAGCAAGATAGAATGGTCTTCTTATTAGTTTGGGAAACAAATGAGAACTAGGTATGAGTAAGCACTAGGGCTTTCTACAGTTCTCCAGTGGTCTGTAAGTCAACATATTTTAAATTGTTATTATGTGTCAACATTGAAGCCCACATACAAAAATAAATCAATGTAATACACTATATTACATAAACAGATAAAACACATAATGATTTCAGTAGATTCAGAGAAAGAATTTGACAGAATTCAACATAGTTTTATATGATTAAAAGCACTGGATGAAACAGAAACAGAAGGCCTATGTAAGCCAATTTAAATTTTATTGGATATCATCCCTAATGATGAATGAAACATAACATTTCATATCACACAGTTGCGTAATAATAGAGGTAAAAAAGTACTGGCAGGACAAAAAGATTTTAATCAAGAGATTTTGAGAGATGCTTCAGTGATGAAATGAAACAAATTTAAAAAGAGAACAACTTTGGTATATAATTAGAAGTCAGAAATCTAAATATCAGATTTAATACTGTCAGGCCTCTGAGCCCAAGCCTGCAGGTATACATCCAGATGGCCCTAAGCAAGTGAAGAATCACAAAAGAAGTGAAAATGGCCAGTTCCTGCCTTAACTGATGACATTATCTTGTGAAATTCCTTCTCCTGGCTCAGAAGCTCCCCCGCTGAGCACCTTGTAACCCCCACCCCTGCCAGCAAGAGAACAAACCCCTTTGACTGTAATTTTCCACTACCCACCCAAATCCTATAAAACGGCCCCACCCCTATCTCCCTTCGCTGACTCTCTTTTCGGACTCAGCCTGCCTGCAGCCAGGTGATTAAAAAGCTTTATTGCTCACAGAAAGCCTGTTTCGTGGTCTTTTCACACGGACGCGCATGAAAAATACTGTACGTTTATTATCTAGGCATGTTTGAATCTCTGGAATGTTGGGTAAAAAGTGTTCACTAAAATGAGCCCCTTTCAAAGTCACACGCATTAAATGAGACAATGTAAGGATATTCAGTGTTAGAAAAGCAGCACTGATGGATGAAGCTGGAAACCATCATTCTGAGCAAACTATCTCAAGGACAGAAAACCAAACACCGCATGTTCTCACTCATAGGTGGGAACTGAACAATGAGAACACTTGGACACAGGGTGGGGAACATCACACACCGGGGCCTGTCGTGGGGTTGGGGGAGTGGGGGGGGATAGCATTAGGAGATATGCCTAATGTAAATGATGAGCTAACGGGTGCAGCACACCAACATGGCACATGTATACATATGTAACAAACCTGCACGTGGTGCACATGTACCCTAGAACTTAAAGTATAATAATTAAAAAAAAATTGCTAAAAAAAAAAAAAGAAAAGAAAAGCAACACTCTTTTGGCTGGGCACGGTGGCTCATGCCTGTAATCCCAGCACTTTGGGAAGCCAAGGGGGCTGGATCACTTGAGGTCAGGAGTTCGAGACCAGCCTGGCCAAAAAGTACAATAATTAGCCGGGCATGGTGGCAGGCGCCTGTAATCCCAGCTACTTTGGAGGCTGAGGCAGGAGAATTACTTGAACCTGGGAGGCGAAGGTTGCGGTGAGCCAAGATTATGCCACTGCACTTCAACTTGGGTGACAGACCAAGACTGCATCTCCAAAAAAAGAAAAAAAGAAAAAGAAAAAAAAGCAGCACTCTTTTGGTCATATCAGCTTCTCATCACTTGCTTTTTGTTTTGTGTTTCATGGAAACAGTCATGCTTATTTATTGGTGTATTACAATGGCAGAATTGAGTAGTTGCAACAGAGATTGTGGTCCATAAAGCATAAAATATTTACTGTTTGGTTTCTTACAGAAAAAACAGTTTGCCGATATCTGTGGTAGGTTTTAGAAGTAATTTTTTAAAAATTATCCTTTACCCCTTCTTTACTGCATGATAAGATGATCCCAGAAGAATCCACTGTTACGGTTCTCCTGTACTGTTAAAAAAAAAAAGTCATTTTTTGAATATGGAGTCATTTTCCCACTGCTTATTTTTGCCAGCCTTGTCAAAGATCAGATGGTTGTAGGTGTGGCAGCATTATTTCTAGATTTTCTACTCTGTTTCATTATTCTGTGTGTTTGTTTTGCACAAGTGCAATGCTGTTTTGGTTACTGTAGTCTTATAGTTTGAAGTTAGGTAGTGTGATATCTCCAGCCTTATTCTTTTTGCTTAGGATTGCTTTAGCTATTCAGGCTGTTTTTGGTCTCAAATGAATTTTAGAACAGTTTTTTTTCTAACTCTGTGAAGAATAATGTTGGTAGTTGGAAAGGAATAACATTGAATCTGTACATTGCTTTGGGCAGTATGGCCATATTTACGATATTGATTCTTCCAATCCACGAGCATGGAATGTTTTTCCATATATATGTTTTATGTCTGATTTCTTTTTTTCTTTTCTTTTTTTTTTTTGAGATGGAGTCTTGCTCTGTCGCCCAGGCTGGAGTGCAGTGGCGCGATCTCAGCTCACTGCAAGCTCCGCCTCCCAGGTTCACACCATTCTCCTGCCTCAGCCTCCCGAGTAGCTGGGACTACAGGTGCCTGCCACCACGCCCGGCTAATTTTTTTGTATTATTAGTAGAGACGAGGTTTCACCGAGGTTTCACCGTGTTAGCCGGGATGGTCTGGGTCTCCTGACCTCGTGATCCGCCCAACTCGGCCTCCCAAACTGCTGGGATTACAGGCATGAGACACCGCGCCCGGCTGTTGTCTGATTTTTTTCAGCAGTGTTTTGTAGTTCTTTTTGTAGAGATCTTTCATCTCCTTGGTTAGCTGTATGACTAGTTATTTCATATTCTTCGTGGCTATTGTAAGTGGGATTGTGTTTTTAATTTTTCTCTCACCCTGGACATTGTTCATATATAGAAATGCTACTGATTTTTGTACATTGATTTTGTATCCAAAAATTTTATGAAAGTAGTTTATCAGTTCTAGGAGGCTTTTAGCAGAGTCTTTCTGATTTTCTAGGTATAAAATCATATTATCAGTGAAGAGAGATAGTTTGGCTTCTTCTTTTTCTGTTTGTCTGGCTTTTATTTCTTTCTGTTGCCCAAATGCTCTGGCTAGGACTTTCAGTATTATGTTGAATAGGAGTGGTGAAAGTGGGCATCCTTGTCTTGTTCAAGTTCTCAAAGGGAATAGTTCCAGCTTTTGCCCATTCATTATGATGTTGGCTGGGGGTTTGTCACAGATGGCTATTATTATTTTGAGGTATGTTCCTTCTGTGCCTAGTCTGTTGAGGATTTTTATAGTGATGGTGCTGGAATAACTGGCTAGCCATATGTAGAAGATTGAAGCTGGACCCCTACTGTCAGCCCTCTGAGACCAAGCTAAGCCATCATAACCCCTATGACCTGCATGTATACATCCAGATGGCCTGGAGCAACTGAAGAACCACAAAAGATGACATTCCACCATTGTGATTTGTTCCCGCCCCACCCCAACTAATCAATCGACCTTGTGATGTTCCTCCCCTGGACCATGAGTCTCATGATCTCCCCACCCTGCGCCTTGTGACTCCCGCCCCTGCCCACAAGAGAACAACCCCCGTTAACTGTAATTTTCCACTACCTACCCAAATCCTATAAAACTGCCTCACTCCTATCTCCCTTTGCTGACTCTCTTTTCAGACTCAGCCCACTTGTACCCAAGTGAAATAAACAGCCTTGTTGCTCACACAAAGCAACAAGTCTCTTCACACAAAGCAACAAGTCTCTTCACATGGTCTCTTCACATGGACACACGTGACACCTACGTGTCATCATATACAAAAATTAACTCACAATGGATTATACATTTAAAAGTAAGACCTCAAACTACAAAAAATCTAGAAGACACAACATGGAAATTACTCTTCTCAACATTGGCCTTGGCAAATAATTGTTGGCAAAATCTCCAAAAAATATTGCAACACAAAGCAACTTAGACAAGTGTGAACTAAATAAACTAAAAAGCTTCTGCACAGGAAAATAAACTATCAACATAGTAAACAGACAACCTACAGAATGGGAGAAAATACAAACTATGCATCTGACTAAGGCCTAATATCCAGAAACTATGGGGAACTTAAACAAATCAACATGCAAAAAACAAATAACCCCTTTAAAAAATGAGCAAAGGACATATCCATGAACAGACACTTCTCAAAAGAAGACGTATAAGTGGCCACCATACATATGCAAATCAAAACCACCATGAGATACCATGTCACACCAGTCAGAATGGCTATTACTAAAAAGTCAAAAAAACAACAGATGCTGGTGAGGCTGCAGAGGAAAGGGAACACTTATGCACTGCTGGTGGGAATATAAATTAGTTCAGCCACTGTGGAAAGCAGTCTGAAAATTTCTCAAAGAACTTAAAACAGAGCTATCATTTGACCTAGCAATCCCATTACTGGGCATACGCCTAAAGTAAAACAAATCATTCTACCAAAAAGACACACACTCATTTTGTTCATCACTATGGTATTCACAATAGCAAAGACCTGAAATCAATACAGGTGCCCAACAATAGAAGATTAGATGAAGAAAATGTGGCATATATATACCATGGAATACTATGCAGATGTAAAAAAGAATAGATTCATGTCCTTTGCAGCAACATGGATGCAGTTGGAGGCCGTAATTCTAAGCTAATTACTGCAGAAACAGAAAACTAAATGCCACATGTTCTCACTTATAACTGGGAGCTAAACATTGAGCACACATGGACATAAACATGGGAACAATAGATACTGCAGACTACTAGAGGAAAAAGGAAGGAGCATAGGTTGAAAAGCTACCTATTGGGTACTGTGTTTACTACCTGGGTGACAGAGTCCCAACTCAGCATCACAGTTTTCCCATGTAACAAACCAATATATGTACTTCTGTATCTAAAATAAAAGTTGAAATTTAAAAAGGAAGTCATTTTTTTCTAGGATGATGTGATTTTATGGCTTACTATTCAAGGGTAGAAGATGGACATGACTTAGAGAAAATAAGAAAAAATATTCCATCCTTCTTCTAGTCACCAGGAATACTACTATAAAAACAAAGTCAGTAAAAGCATGAGAGTGTGGGTCTTCAGTTTTTCTCCGTGAAACAGGAGTGGGAGTTTAGAGAGAACAGACATTATGTTGTTACCTTTCTGAGAAGTTAAGCTGTAAACATTCTCTGTTGCTATTTGTGAAACATACTTTTACAGAACTAAAGTCTAAGGGGAGCAGGTGCAAAGTAATTTATTCAAATAATGAATACACAGACCTTGAAGTTATTTTTTAAGTTGTGAAAAGAATAGACTGAGAAGAAAAATCAAATTGGTTTACATTTTGGAATCGATATTTCTTGATGATACAGGAGGCATCCTTCACCCACAGTCATAGGCTTGTGATTTCTGTAATTTTTCACAGTTGTTAAGTAAATAAAGAACTTGAGCAAGTTAAGTGTCTGTAAGGGGTTGCATTCACTACCTGAAACCTATGGTTTCATCTTTGGTTTTTCAGTAGTAGCAGAGGGACAACAAACCAGGCTTGAGATGTAGAGGACCTATGATCAGATGATTTGTTTGAGAGCCCAAACTAATTAACTTTAAACAAGTAAAATCAAAGTATTATTTAGGTTAAGGGCCTGCAAATTCAAATGTTTTCATAGGCCATATAGGTAACATAAATATGTGAATGGCACCGTATATAAACAAAATTGAGTTATAGCGCTTTGGGATTGAGATTACAAACTTCTTTGAAGGCAATCAAATTCAATTTAGAATGTTTTCTAAGCTGAACAAAGCAAGTTGCAAGCCAGATTTGACATTCATTTGTTGTTCAGTATCAAATTTTGAAAAAAAATACTTAAATGAGAAGCCTTCTGGCTTTTCAGGGAAATCGCTGATGTATGATGGCTTGACTTATGATTTTTCAACTGTGGAAAGTGATACACATTCAGTACTCTCCTTAATTTATGAGGGGTTTCTTCTGGATAGAACCATCATAAATCAAGGAGCATCTGTATATCATTATCATAAGATAATAAATACACATTTGCAGTAGCCAAAATTACCCAAGATAGCACTTTTTATACCAATGTTCTTGGGAAACTAAATTAGTCATCAGAGCAAAAGCAGTTATTGCTATAATCCCAGCTACTCGGGAGGCTTAGGCAGGAGAATCACTTGAACCCAGGAGGTGGAGGTTGCAGTGAGCTGAGATTGTGCCACTGCACTCCAGCCCGGGCAAGAGAGCAAGACTCTGTCTCAAGAAAAAAAAGCAGCTATTGCTTGTGAGAGATATGTTACTCTAGCTGTAGTTCATCTTTTAATAACTGAACTACTTTTGCCTACCAGCCACAATTTCTCTTCAATGGACCCTACAGTTATACAATCACTAATTCTTATTATTTAGCTCTCATTTTACTAGGTTTCATATAAGTTATTGAGGTTTTGCTATACATTCTGTCAGCAGAAGATAAAATAATTTAATTATATCTTTATTGGTTATATAAAACATATATAGTTATATATATACAATTTTGTATCTAGAAATGTATTTCATTATTTAGTTTACATATATTTCATTATCTAATTATATTAAGGACTTGAACATACTTTCTAATCATTTTGATTAAATTTTATACCATTCCAACTTTCTTAGCAATACATTTGAATTATGATAATTTCTTCTTCCATTTTGTGTTGCTATGACAGAGTATCTGAGACTGGTAATTTATAAAAATCAAGAGGTTTATTTGGTTCATGACTGTGGTGGATGGAAAATCCAGGATTGCACAGATGCATCTGGCAAGGGCCTCAGGCTGCTTCCACTCATAGCAGAAAATGGAAGGGTAGCCAGCATGTGTAAAGAGATCACATGGTGAAACAGGAAGGAAGAGAAGAAATCGTGGAAGTCAGATTATTTTTAAAAACCCACTTTCTTGGTATTTAATCCATTCCAGGGAGAGAAAAAACTGATTGACCCCCAAAAGAGGGCATTAACCTATTTCTGAAGAATCTGCCCCCATGACAAAAACACCTCCCACTATAATCCACCTCCCAACACTGCCAAGTGTGTGATCAAATTTCAATATGAGTTTTGATGAGGACAGACAAACTATATCCAAGCCCTAGCAAAGAACTATTAAAGATGAAAACCCATGCAGCTATTCATCAGAATGGCAGGAAAAAAAAAATGTCTACAGAAGAGAATGAGAGATACTTTGACCTGACACTAAAGGAAAGTGATTGAGGATATCTAAGAGACTCTAGAGAGGAAAGATGAGGACTGCCAATTAAAATAAATGTTCCCAATATCCCCAGCATGAGATGAGACTACAAGTGAGATGCAGGTTGAGAGGAGGCTGGAGAGAGAAACTTGTTTACCTGTGGATCCAGAAAGGTGAGAAGATGAAGTAAAACACCTGTAAGAGTAGATCCTGGCCAGCAGAGATAAAAGCTTTGTTATCTTGGGTAAGTTAGTGGTTATTCTGTGTGTTTATAAAACTCATTGCATGCTCGGGATGCGAGTATCGGGGATGGAGGAGTAACAGGTTTTTACTTAAGATGTGGCCTGCATTGGCAATCCAAGGAAGCTGGAAGACCACAGGGAGGACGTAGGGAGAAGGATGGTAATTAACAGCAATGTTGCAAAACTATTCCTGCAGAAAGTTGAGACATAATATATCACCTAATCTTTTGGCTTTAGATAGTACCAAAAACCAGCTACATTTTAATATTACCTTTAGAAACAAAATGATATAGCTGCATTAAAATAATGTGCCTATGTGTTACTTTTTCTGTGTAAGAAATTATTCCAAATTTAGCATCTTAAAAATTAACATCTTTTTGTTACTTTCTCTGTGTAAGAAATTATCCCAAATTTGGCATCTTAAAAATTAATGCTTATTACAACACACACTTTCAGAGGGTCAGGAAATATAAGAGTTGCTTCCTTGGGTGGTTCTAGTTCATGGTCTCTCATGAGGTTGCGATCAAGCTGTAGGCTGTGGATTAAATCATCTTAAGGTTTGAAGTGTAAACCCATCCTGATGTTTCACAGAATACCCAGGCAATGTGTCAATGATCATCAATGATTTATTTGCTGTGAAGTAAATAGGCTTCTGAATATTAAAATTTCCTAGAAATCATCTGTGTTCATTCGTAGTCCTTATGGGTTATGTTAGGCATACATCATTCCTGGCGTTTTTCCTAATTATAGTTCCTGGTTTGACTGCATAAGAGAACCAGCTCCATACTTTATATAAGTCTTAAGAAAGGGAATTGTGGTATTGGGATACTATACCAACTCTTGAATATATCTTAATATAATGGAAAGATATAGAGTCAAAGAGACCTGAGTTTAAATCCAGACTCTGCACATACTAGCTGAGTGATATTGAGAAAGTCACTTTAACCTCTTAGAACTTATTTCTTCATCAATAGAATGGAGGAAATAATGGTTTGTTAGTTCAGTTTCAGACCTATGGTGGTAATTATATTAAGCAAAGAATACACACACACACAAAATATATATATATATATATCATATATACATATGATATTATATATGTCATATATAACCTAGCCCTACAAAGTGCTCAATAAATGGTAATTATTATTATGATAGTTTTATGTACATATATATATGTATATGCCAGCCTAATAGCTTAACATTATGAAAGAAACATGGGCTTTAAAGTAAAAAAATAAAATCAAATAAAAACTGGATTTGTGTCTTGGCTGGAATCATCATTTATTAGCTGAGTGATCTTAACAGTTTTTTATCCTCTCAAAGCTTCAATTTTTTCATCAGTAATGTTTGACTTTAATAATAATATCTACCTCAAAGGGTCATATGCCCCTAACATCTTCTAAATTAGAAAGAAAAGTTAGCAGTGCCACTACTACTATTGCCAAATAATTTCACTGATACTACCTTTTCTCACCTTTCCTAACTAGCATCTTCCCTCCACAACTTGGCAATCTTGTTCTTTTCTCAGGATTGCCATGGAAGGAACACAGATGAACACACACACACACACACACACACACACACACACTGATCCTTATAGCACCTTAAGGCACACTGGAAGTTAGAGAGCAAGCTCTTTCAGCTTATGTCTTATCAGAAACTTCGTGGTGCATTTATGATGCCTTCAGACCACAAGCCTATACTCCTGAGCTGAGAACATCGGGGAAAATCATCAGTAGACACCCTATTAGTGGAATTCATCAGGCTTCATTCTCCCATTCAGATAGCCAATACTGCTGTTCTCACTTAAATTACCTGACCCTGCCCTCTGATTCCTGGCTTAGCACAGCTGCAGTAAACATCCCTTTCCTTGCAGACAACCATTGTATAATGATCTCTGTCAATGGGACTCAATAAGGCTTGGATAAAGGCCTGAGGCCTCCCTGATTCCAACCAGAGCATCAATGGAATATTTACCCACCAAGTCCACTGCTGAAGATACAACAATACTAACCTGAATGAAGGAAATACATAAAATAGGAAGAAATACAAATGGCCATGTGCCATGTTTACCTCGGGTATGAGCATTGTTTTCTATTAAGTTCTGTGAGGAATGTTAATTCAGAAATATTTATTTCATACCAAGAATCCAGGTGATGCTGATGCATACAAAAAGTTGAGAGAAACTGGTTTTGTCACATTCTCTGTAATATCAGATTTTCTCAGTAGATGGTGTTGTCAAACAATTTTTCTCTATTTCTGTCATCATATTAATAGTTTTTCATCAGCATCAAACAAGGTAGCAAATTTTTTCTCTCCATACTCTTTTCACTGTTTGGTAAGTTTGCATTTTCTTAGCTTCATCTGTTCTATTTTCTCAAGACACACACACACACACACACACACACACACAATATGTATAAAATGGAGTAGTCCAAAGTTAGGAGAATAAGTTACTAGGCCAGAATTGGCTACCATTTCCTATAAAGGGCAAGAGAGGAAATATGTTGCATTTTACCAAACATAATCTCTATTGCAACTACATAACTCAGCCAAATAGCATGCAAACAACCCTACAGAATATGTTTAAAAAAATGAGTGTAGAGCTGTTCCAAAAAAAATTTAGTTATGGGCACTAAAATTTAAATTTCAAGTAATTTATTTTTTTTAACACACAGTCTTGCTCTGTTGCTCAGGCTGGAGTACAGTGGTGCTATCTCAGCTCACCGCAACCTCCACATCCCAGGCTCAAGCAATTCTTGTGTCTCAGCCTCCCGAGTAGCTGGGGTTACTGGCGACGCCACCATGCCCAACTAACTTTTGTATTTTTAGTAGAGACAGGGTTTTGCCATGTTGGCCAGGCTGGTAAGAAACTCCTGGCCTCAAGTGATCTGCCTGCTTTGGCCTCCCGAAGTGCTGGGATTACAGGCATAAGCCACCGTGCCTGGCCCAATTTCAATTAATTCTTAGATATCACAAAATAGTTTTCTTCTTTTGATTGTCTTTTAACCACTTAAAAATGTAAAAACCATTCATAGCTCACAGGCTATATAAAAACAGAGAGTGACCTACATTTGGCCTGCTGTCTGTGGGCTGTAATTTGATGACCCTTGGTCTATATATTTATACTTGTTGAAACCAAAGTTACTGTAGTTAAGAGCTTAGACTCTGATGTCTGGCAGTCTGGGAACAAGTGTTGGCTTGGGAATGTTAGTTCTCTAACTGTTTCAAGCGTTATTTTCTTTATCTCTATAATGGGAGTAATAATAGTAAAGGCCTTTTAGGGTTATTGAAATAATTATGACTTGATTTGTGAAAAGAGCTCAGAATAGCATAGAATGTATGGAAAGCAGCCAGTACATTATAACTATTGTTATAGGCTAAATCCTTTTCTAGACATTTTCAACACATCACCTCACTTCAATTTCATAATAATGCTTTGATGTAGGTATTATTATGTCTCCTTAAGAGATAAGGAAACCAAAACTCAAAGAGGTAAGTGATTTGCTCTAGGTTACATAGCCAGTAGACAGTAGGCCTGAATTTGAAGTCACACTCAGGTTTTACCCCACGCTCATGCTTTGCCACTCTGCTTACCTTTTCCTTGAGCTCATTTGTGTAATGCTCTGGATAAAGTCTCAAACTCTTTGTTAAATAGTGCTAGTCATAATTTTTGTTTCTTTTTGGGACGGATTCTCACCCTTATACCCAGGCTAGAGTGCAATGGTGTGATCATAGCTCACTGCAACCTTGAACTCTTGGGCTCTGGTGATCCTCGTGCCTCAGCCTCCCAAGTAGCCAATACTACAGGTGTGTGCAGCCATGCCTGGCTATTTTTTATATTTTTGTATAAATGAGGTCTCACTATATTGCCCAGGCTGGTCTCAAACTCCTGACCTCAAGTGATCCTCCTGCCTTGGCCTCCCAAAGTGCTAGTAATACAGGCATGAGCCACTATAACCAGACAAAATTTATATTTTTAGGAGCTACTGAGATTCACAATCAACATACTAATTTGTGTTTTATACAAAATAGCTTGTGAAACTCAAAAAATATAGTTGTTATGATAGTTTTGTGTGTCAACTTGGCTAGGCTATGGTACCCAGTTGTTTAAACACTGATATAGGTGCTGCTGTGAAGGTATTTTGTAGATGTGTTAACATGTACAATGAGTTAAGTTGAGTAAAGGAGATTACTTTGATTATATGGGTGAACATTACTGAGTCAACTGAAAGGCCTTAAAAGAAAATAAGATTTTCCTGAGAAAAAAAAAAGCAGCCTCAAAACTGCAACATTAGTTTCCAGTCTATCAGCCTGCCTTACAAATTTCAGAATTAGAAGCTCCCAAAACCATATAAGCCAATGTGTTTTCTTTAATTTTTAATTTTTGTGAGTACACACTAGGTGTCTATATCTATGGGGTACATGAGATGTTTGGATAAAGATGTAAAGTTTTAACACGCTAAAAAAAAAACTAGGTTTGTCTTCATTTGTACATATAACTAGGCTTTCTCTAGCTTCTCTATCTTAGGGGAAAATTTAGGTGATAGCAACAATTGCAAAGCAGGATTTCTCTGGCTCTTCTCTCTTACTCTATAGTAGCATTTCTCAACTGGGGACAATTTTGCCTACTCAGCGGACATTTGGCAATACGTGGAGACATTTTTGGTTGACACAGCTGATGAGTACAACTAGAATCTAGTAGGCAGATATCAGAGATGCTGCTAAATATTTTCATTGCAAAGGTTAACCCCCCACGACAAAGCACTATTCATCCTAAAATGTCATACTTCCAAAATTGAGGAAAGCTTATCTATAGGAAACAGTCTCTTCAAAATCTTTTCAAATTTTTATTGGAGTCGCCAGGTAGGAACAAAAATGCTCCGTTTCACTTTGATTCCTTTTTTGCTGCCAGTGCTAATAGTAGTAACTATAGAATCATTGTCTAAGAAGTGCTCAACACTGGTGTTGGAGCTTGCTGTATGTAGAGATGCTATTTCTAATACATGTTGTTACCTGAGATGAGGCTACAGATGCCTAATATCTAGAATTCCAGTGTCTGTGTTGAAGATATCACCTATCATCATTGCTGGAACTGCTGGAACTATTGTTTCCAGTACCAGAGTCTTCTGCTCTCTCATCATTCCTACTCTGCTCAAGGTTTTTTATTCTTTTTGTAAAATTTTTTTATTTTTAATTTTTTTTTGGTACATAGTAGGTGTATATATTTATGGAGTACATGAGATATTTTGGAACAGGTATGCAAATGCGTAATAACCACTTCATGGAAAATTGGATGCCCATCCCTTCAAGCATTTATCCTTTGTCTTACAAACAATCCAGTTATACTCTTTCAGTTATTTTAAAATGTACAACAAATTATTGTACCTGCTGTACAATTGTACCCGTTACCTGCTGTTTTTTCACAGCCTTCTCTTCCTGAGATGCAGGAAACAATTTAGTTGATATTTACCATGTTGTACTCAAAGTTACTCTTTACTTTGAATGGTCTATTTTTCTACAAACAGCTTAGTTTCCTCAACTACTTTTTCCTTAGAATGAATTATCTCCCAAGAGTACTTTAAGTCCCTGGTTTTAATCTATAATGGACACATATTAGCAACTCTATAAATATGATAAGCTACACCCAAACCTTTCTGTGGGCCACTTTTTTCCTCGGATAAAGATTTTCTGCTATATAAACAATTGATTACTTCATTCAACTGCTGTACACATATTTATTGAGCACAACTCATCACACAAAAATTTTATTGAGTAGTTAGCTAGGCAGTTGTTTGAGAAATGAAGATATAGCAGTGGCAAGGTAAGACAAGACCTTTTCCCCAATAGCTGGAAAAGAGAGGAAAAAAAATAAGCAAATAAAAGTATTCATCTGAAATAAACTAAAACAGTATAATGTGACTTGTAATATAGAGAGATGATTCTTTGTAATGGGTGCAGTCAGGGAAGACTTCTCTGAGGGTTAGTATTTAACCAGATATCTGAACAATGTGAAATATCTAGAGGACACAAATTTGAAGCAGGGTGAATAAGTGGAATCAAGAGACAGAAAAACAGTCAGTGTGACTGGAACATAGCGAGCAAGGGAATGTGTGGTACAATGTGAAGTCAGTCTGGCAATCTCCAGATCGTGTAGTTTCTATTAAGTTCTAAACGTGGTGCTCTGTGCTAGGATATCTTTGTAAGCCAATTATATTATGGACCTTGCTCAAAGCATAATTAAAAAGATATGCTAATCAAAATTCACAGAACTAAGTATATAATTGCAAAGTACTTTATGGTAAGTGCTATTAAGGAGATTACCTAATGTTATGAGAGCATATAAATAAAGTGTGAAACCTGATTTGATTAAAGAAAAGTTTCCCCAGACAATGATGATGAGCTGAGATGCATAGGATAAGTAGTTAGTAAGATAGAATGAGAGAAAGATTGGAATTATAGACAAAATAAGTTAACTTTTTCCACTTTTTAACAAGTAGTGAGGCAAGAAACAGATGTCCTTTTAAGAAACTAAAGTTATTTTTCTCTTTTCACTTGGATGTACAAAATAAGAAGTTTAGATTAAGAAGAAACAAGTAGTTTAAGAGTAAAAGTACACTTTGGTTAACAATACAATCATTAAACCTTAAAGGCCTCACTCCAGGTTTCTGGTGGTCATTGATTTCTCTTTCTGTGCTGCTGTTACAGCGTGACATAGAAAAGAAGGATACACTTAGATCTGGTGAGGTGGGGCCAATGTAAGCTGAACAGCAATGTACTGCTGCTGTCTTCCAGGGGAAGTAGGTGAATAGTCATTTTGGGAAAGGCACTGCATCACCAGCTTCTAGAAAATTTTTTCAAGAGTCTGACCATTGTATTTTTTCTCAAATATATTTTTTTAAATCTCTCCCTGGAGAGTGGCTTTGAACTCTAGCTTTGCTCAGATAGGGCTCCCATAAATTTGGTGGTAAATATTTATGTGTTTTTCATGATAGTTCTTTATCCTGGTGGATGACCAAATGCCTGTGCCTGATCATACCCAGGTATCTTCCTCACAGAAAGAACATTTTTAGGCTGTCAGAATCCTTTTTGGTTCTTGTCTGACCTGTGTCCAGTTTATTCCTACTAAGATAGCCACTCCACAGCAGAGTCCTGACCAGGAGGAGAATCAGGTGTGACACAGAGAAGGCAACTCAACAAAATGCACAAGATAACAGAAGCAGTGTATTACTTACAAATCCCGGAGAGAAGAAGGCAGCATGCCTCACAGGGAAAACAGGAAGTAGGGAAGCTTTCTGGGACACATTGGTTCAACCAACAGGTGGGGAGGAAGAGAGAGAGAAAAAGGAGCCTGTGGGCCAAAGCCTTCATTGAGATCCAAGGTGTTACCCAAGCAAGTTTTCTGTGTGGAGTTCTAATTGGTGGGTTATGAATATGCAGGCATGTGTTCCATGGATTCCCACTGTGACTGAAAAGTGACCGCTATGGCTTATCTGCAAAGCCTGTGTAGGATGTGGGGATCAGTCAGGTAGTATATAGCTGTCCCATAAAGATGTGGTCAGTAGGAGGTGATTGTATAAGAAAGATATATGGATAGATCTGCTTGAGGAACTACGGGAGGCAGAGAACTGGGAACTGTGTCAAGGATGACTAAGCCTTGCTTGTGGTATGAAAAAGCCAACCCTATATTCAAAATAAATGTCAAGGCAACATAACTCTATTAGGATCTACTATACTGGCCTCATAAAAACTTTGACCAATCAGACTATTCTAGCAACTTGGAGTTCTGGAAATGTTTTTCGTGAAGTAAACAGAAAAGGAAAACAATGCTAAATGATGGCAATTAATATGTATAAACCAAGAAGTAATTTTATTTTATTTTATTTTAGAAACTGATGTTTATTTTCCATCAACCATTTTTCCATGCTGCTTAAGAGCCTATGCAAGAACAGCTTAAGACCAGTCAGTGGTTGCTCCTACCCATTCAGTGGCCTGAGCAGTGGGAGCTGCAGACCAGTCTTCCGTGGCACGCTGAGTGCTCCAGTCTTCAGTAGGGAACTGCTGAATAGGCACAGAGGGCACCTGTACACCTTCAGACCAGTCTGCAACCTCAGGCTGAGTAGCAGTGAACTCAGGAGCTGGAGCAGTCCATTCACCCTGAAGTTCCTCCCTGGTCATTGCCTTTTCAGCAGCAGCCTGCTCTTCTTTTTCAATCTCTTCAGGATCTCTGTAGAAGTAGAGATCAGGCATGACCTCCCATGGGTGTTCACGGGAAATGGTGCCACGCATGCGCAGAACTTCCCGAGCCAGCATCCACCACATCAAACCCACTGAGTGAGTTCCCTTGTTGTTGCATGGGATGGCAATGTCCACATAGTGCAGAGGAGAATCTGTGTTACACAGAGCAATGGTAGGTAGGTTAACATAAGATGCCTCCGTGAGAGGCTGGTGGTCAGCCCTGGGGTCACTAACCACAAGAAGCCGTGGCTCCCGGAAGGCTGCCTGGATCTGGTTAGTGAAGGTTCCAGGAGTGAAGCGGCCAGCAATTGGAGTGGCTCCAGTGGCAGCAGCAAACTTCAGCACAGCCCTCTGGCCAGTATTCCTGGAGGATATAACACTGACATCAGCAGGGTTTTCAATGGCAACAATAGCACGAGCTGTCAGCAGAAGCTTCTCCCAGGTCCTCTTCAGATTTATGATATAGATGCCATCACTTTTCCTTTTATAGATGTACTGTTCCATCTGGAAGTCAAGATTGGTGCCACCTAAGTGGGTTCCTGCTGCAAGGAACTTAAGGACATCCTCCTCCTTCATTTGCAGGACATCAAGGGCTCCGGACATTGTGAAAGTTTCCCTTTAAGTTACGACGGGAATCTAGAACAACCCCCTATGGACCCCTCTGTAGGTAGTGCGGAAAGACCAAGAAGTAATTTTATAACATTAATGTGTGTATATATCGGTAAAATGTCAGCTGCAGGTAAGGGAACAATTGACTGAGTGGCTTAAGCCAGAATTTAAAATGTATTGTGTAAGAAGAAATCAAGAGATAGATAATCCCTGGCTTGGTACAGTGCCAGAGTGGACCTCTTAAAAAGTGATGATTATGATAGTCTTTTAAATACTTCCTTCTCTAAATGTTTAATGTCAAAGTTTAACTTTGTTTTAATTTTAATGTTTTGTTTAATTTTGATGTTGGTATTGATGTTTTCAAATGAGCAAAGTGCATGTAATCATCACCACCACCAATACACTCTCATTGCTAATATTTGATTACAAAATAAGATAAATATTGACCTGTTATTAGATAATTCTCAAATTCTAAGAGAAGTTAGAAAGAAGTTTGGAAACCTAAATGATCCCTTGTCAAAAATAGACTTAAGCAGTACTCCTATAAATAACCAAATTTTGAATGCTCTCAAGTACAGATTAAAGTCAAAGTAGATAAAGCATTATGTTCTGAAATCTATAAACAAGGAGTTTTATGATTTTACTGATGTCATTTGATTTCCAAAGGCTGACATAGTTGACACTGCAGAAATTAAAAAATAAATTGAGATTCATCATATGGATGTAAAAGATTTTCTACCAGTACTGTGAAGACAAGAAAAATAGATTATCATAACAACATACACATTGGGATTTTAAAAGCTCTCTCTGGAAGACCAAATTGAAATATTAAAAATATAATTTTATATGTATATATAGGATATCAGGTTCCATATTTTACAGTTCAGGCTCAGAAAATGTCCAATTAAGACCATAAACAACAATTTGATGACTAATAATAAAATCTACTGTTTTCGAGCAGCTAGGGATTGCTTACTAATGGGTGACTAAGGGGCTACAATAAGTCCCTTACTCACCCCTTAGTGAGCAGTCCCTTATTTCAGAAAATATCTTGGGGCAGATAGCTATACTGTGCTTGCTTTTATGTTTGCCATTGTGGTTGAAATAATTTATGAGACCCTCAATTGGCTCCCAGAACCTGGAACTTTTCAAAGGGTTACAGTGGGAGAAGCAGTAACAGGAATTGATACTTCACCTAACGAAATATTTAACACTAATTGAGGATGAGGCAACATGGAAAGCTCTAGAAGAGTGTTTCCCAAAAAAATGGTTCACTGATAGATTCAGTCTGTTTTAAGTTATTGCTTAGACATTTCATTTTAACACATTAATACCAAATAAATTATTGTATAGGATCTATAATTTAGTAAGAGTACATTTTATCATGATCTGTTCTTGAGCCCCAGGCTGACAAACATTGTCACCAGTGCTATTGAATCCATGTGGGCCAATTCTTGGGCCTACAGGCATCTTGCCTTGGTTCTGGTAGTGGTGGCAGTGGGTGTGTGAATGGGCAGGTCCTTGAGCTCCCAGGCAGAGGGCATGGGATGAGAGATGATGTTAGCAGTGGTGGTACAACCCTCTACCTTTCACACACATAAATTAGAATTGCCTCATAAAATGCTGTGATATTCTATCAATGTAGAGAACATAGCTGTCAACATTTACAAATACTTACATTAACAAAAAGTAATTGATTGAACTATAATCTTTCATGTGATAAAGATGGTGTTGAATAATATTTTGTAATCTTCGGCAGAGTGGCTTCAAGATGTTTGACCAAAGGCATCTGTTACTTATCTCCTCAAAATAATGAACAGATAATCATACTTCTAATAGATTATCTAAGAAAGCACATTGGAATTCAACAGCAAAGTGACAGAAAACACCTGAAGCAAGGAAGAAAAAGGAAGTAAGGCAGCCCGCTAGGCAGGGATTGGCTAGGAGACTGGTGAGCCCCCATAATGCAAGTAAAGGGTTAGTGAGAGATCCCCAGTGGTCCACATTCCCCCTGAAACTCTTGCAATCCTAGCCATGAGAGAATGCCTTGATGCTAATGGGCCCTTAGCGTAATATAGGGAGCTACCTGGAGATTGTGCAATAACATTGCCCTAGAGAGAAAGTTCATGTTGGGTCCCACAAACCATCTTAGTCCTAAGCAACTGCAATTTGGTATTACTTTGAGATCTCTGTCCCCACTACACTGCATCCTGCCCTGGGGCCCAACAGTCCCTGCATCTTTACATTCCTAGAGCCCCACTGACATCCCCATCTTACAGCCAATGCTACTTATTTTTTGTTTCTGCATATAAAAAACTAGAATCATGTAAGTGAAATTAATTTAGAATGAGTCATGTATCATCTACTTCTTGAAAAATTGACATCACTTTTCAATAAACACACACTTTTTAGTTTATTGGTTCATAAGAGTGCTCATTACATTACAAAATGTAAAAAGAGCTGACAAAGGATAAAATTAATAAATAGTTGTAGACTGTATAATAAATGATAAAACTTCTGTAACAAGAGTGCCATGCTACAACCAAATACAGAGGACAGCTCTATGGCATGACTGCTCAGCGTTGTCCAGCACATCTTTCATAACTACCTAGCCTTTATTTCTCACTTACCCCAACAACTGCCAGTCTAGTTAATTTCTACATTTGGCAGGCCTACTCTGAGTAATACCACTTGAGGACAGAAGTAGTGAGCAATCTCCAGCTGCTCATGCTTCAACTCACTTTGTTTTAACAGTAAGAATCCTTCATGCTGTCCTTAAAAGGAGATGTTATTAACACTGTTTGGACAGGGTTTTTCAGATTTACCCAAATGGTAAAATGAGACTCTGTTCACTACATGTGTGAACACTACTAGACAAAATAATGGGGGAAGCCAGAAGTACAATGTGGAGGTTAATCAAACATCCCAGTTTACTTTAATGTATTTAATCAAGCGGTATGCACTGGTGTTGGCAGTGGATGCAATGAGCTGGGTGGGCCAGTCCCCAGGCCCTCAGGTTATATGTTAGAGTGAGTGCCAGCTGTGGTGGTAATAGCAGGTTTGGTGGGCCCATCCTCAGGCCTACAAGAGGATTGCCTAGATGCCAGTGGTAGTAGATGGGGAAGGGCAATATTCAGGCCCCCAGAGAGCATAGCATGCTAAGTTACTGGGTGAAGTGGAGTTGTGCCAGGCAGTCTTGTCCGTGTCTCTTTGGTGATGCATACAGGTGCTGAAGTTGTAGGCAGAGGGAGGCTAATTCCTAGGCCTCTGGTGGAATGCTCAGGTAGAAGTGGAAGTCACTGATCTGTGATCCTGATGTTGGGGAGCGTGGGCTTGCTTTTTGTTGGAGCAACTGTAGGCAGGCAGCTGGGGAGTGCATGCTTTGGCTGCAGGTGTTATCTGTGGGTGAGTTCATCTGTCCTTGGGGTATTTGTAAATGTGTGGCTTCCCCAGTGTTGGGGGTTGCAGAATTACTGCCAGTGGCTCATGATTTGGTCCTGGTGACAGCATCCAGCAGTGGCAGCATTTGTAGGTAGGAGAGTCTGTCCTTGGGATACAGGATTTACAAGACAAACAGAAATCAGTTAAGAAAATGACAGGAATCAGTCTTATATTAGTCTGTTCTCTCACTGCTATAAAGAAATGCCTGAGACTGGGTAGTTTATAAAGGAAAGAGGTGTAATTGATTTACAGTTCCAAAGGCCTTGGGAGGCCTCAGGAAACTTACAATCATGGTGGAAGGGAAAGCAAACACATCCTTCTTCACATGGCGGCAGGAAAGAGAATTGCCAAGCAAAAGGGGAAAAGTCCCTTATAAAACCATCAGATCTCACAAAAACTCACTCACTTTCATGAGAACAGCATGGAGGTAACTGCTCCCATGATTCAATTACCTCCCACTGTGTTGCTCCCATAACACATGGGGATAATGGAAACTATAATTCAAGATGAGATTTGGGTAAGGACACAGCCAAAGCATGTGATTCTGCCCATGGACTTTCCCAAATCCCATGTCCTCACATTTCAAAACATAATCATACCTTTCCAACAGTCCCTCAAGGTCTTAGCTTATTCCAGCATTAACCCAACAAGTTCAAGTCCAAAGTTTCATCTAAGACAAGGCAAGTTCCTTCTGCCTATGAGCCTGTAAAATGGAAAACAAGTTAGTTACTTTCTAGATACAATGGGGTTACAGACACTGGGTAAATACACTCATTCCAAATGGGAGGAATTGGCCAAAGTGAAGGGGATACAGGCCCCAGGCAATTCCAAACTCCAGCAGCACAGTCAAATCTTAAACTCTAACATGATCTCCATTGACTTCATGTCTCACATTGAGGTCACACTGATGCAAGACGTGAGCTCCCACAGCCTTGGGCAGCTCCACCCCTCTGGCTTTGCAGGGTACAGCCCCCATCCTGGCTGCTTTCATGGGCTTGTGTTGAGTGTCTGTGGCTTTTCCAGGCACACAGTGCAAACTGTCGGTGGATCTACCATTCTGGGGTCTGGAGGAAGTTGGCCCTCATCTGACAGCTCTACCAGGATGTGCCCCAGTGGAGACTTCGTGTGGGGGCTTCAACCCCACATTTCCCTTCTGCACCACCCTAGTGGAGATTCTCCCTGAGGGCTCCACCCCTGCAATAAACTTCTGCCTGGACATTCAGGTGTTTCCATACATGTTTTGAAAGCTTGACAGAGGTTCCCAAACCTCAATTCTTGACTTCTGTGCCCCCGTAGGCCCAATACCACATGTGAGCTGCCAAGGCTTGGGACTTGCACCCTCTGAAGCAATGGCCTGAGCTGTACATTGGCACCTTTTAGCCACAGCTGGGATGCAGGGCACCAAGTCTCAAGACTGCACAAAGCAGCAAGGCCCTGGGTCCAGCCCACAAAATTATTTTTTTCCTAGGCCTTCAAGCCTGTGATAGAAGGGGCTGCTATGAAGACCTATGACATGTCCTAGAAATATTCTCCCCATTGTCTTGGTGATTAACATTTGGCTCCTTTTACTTATGCAAATTTCTGCAGCCAGCTTGAATTTCTCCTCAGAAAATAGGTTTTTCTTTTCTATTACATCATCAGGATGCAAATTTTTCAAACTTTTATGCTCTGCTTCCCTTTTAAACATAAGTTCCAATCCCAAACTATATCTTTGTGAATACATAAAGCTGAATGCATTTACCAGCACCCAAGTAACATCTTGAATGGTTTGTTGATTGGAAATTTATTCCACCAGACACCCTAAATCATCTCTCTTAAGTTCAAATTGCCACAGATCTGTAGGGCAGGGGCAACTTTATTCCAGTTTCCAACAACTTTTTCATCTCTACCTGAAACCACCTGAGCCTGGAATTCATTGTCCATATTACTATCAGCATTTTTACTAAAGCCATTCAACAAGTCTCTATGAACGTTCAAACTTTCCCACGTCTTCCTGTCTTCTTCTGAGCCCTCCAAGTCTCTAGGAGGTTCCAAACTTTCTCACATTTTTCTGTCTTCTTCTGAGCCCTCCAAACTCTTCCAACCTCTGCCCATTACCCAGTTCCAAAGTTGCTCCCACATTTTCATGTATCTTTATAACAGCATCCACTCCCTCGCTACCAATTGGTCCCTAGGTACCAATTTACTGTATTACTTCATTCTCACATGCTATAAAGAACTGCTCGAGATTGGGTAGTTTATAAAGAAAAGAGGTTTAATTTATTCACAGTTTTGCATGGCTGGGGAATCCTGAGGAAACTTACAATTATGGCAGAAGGGAAAGCAAACACGTCCTTCTTCACATGGTGGCAGCAAGGAGAAATGCCAAGGAAAAGGGGAAAAAGCCCCCTATAAAAGCATCAGATCTCCTGAGAACTCACTCATTATCACAAGAACAGCATGGAGGTAAACCCCCCCCCCGCAACCACTGCTGTGATTCAATTACCTCCCACCTGGTCCCTCCCATAACACATGGGATAATGGGAACTACAATTCAAGATGAGATTTGGGTGGGGACACAGCCAAACCATATCAAGCCTTCAAACATCAATAATAACATTGAATATAAACCAATTAAATATTTCACTTAAAATATATGGACTGCCTGAGTGGAGAAAATATTGACTCAACTATATGATGCCTACCAGAAACTCTTGTCACCTGTAAAAACAAATATAGTATGATGGTAAAGGGATGGGAAAAGATATTACTTGTATACAGAAGTCAAAGATGAGGAAGAATAGCTATACTTATATCAGATAACACAAGCTTTAAGTCAAATAGTAGAAGAAAGGCAAAGAAGGTCATTATATAATGATAAAGGGATTAATTCAGCAAGAAGATATAACAATTCTAACTATATATGCACCCAGCATCAAAAAACCCAGATATATAAAGCCAATATTGCTACATCAAAAGAGTGAGATAGACTCTAATACAATAATAGTTTTGGACATTAACACCCATGATCAGCATAAGGCAGATCATCTAGAGAGAAAATTATTGAGAAATATTGGATTTAAACTGCACTTTAGACCAAATTGACTAAATGTATATTTTTATTTATTTATTTATTTATTTATTTATTTATTTATTTATTTAGAGACAAAGTCTCAGTCTGTTGCCCACTGGAGTGCAGTGGCACAATGTCAGCTCACTGCAACTTTCGCTTCCCTGGTTCAAGCAATTGTCCTGCCTCAGCCTCCCTAGTAGCTGGGATTTCAGGTGTGCACCACTATGCCTGGTTGATTTTTTTATATTTTTAATAGAGACAGGGTTTCATCATTTTGGCAAGGCTGGTCTCCAACCCTGGACCTCAGCTGATCCACTCACCTTGGCCTCCCAAAATGCTAGAATTCTTTTTTTAATTTTATCCGACAGTTATAAAATACACATTCTTTGCATCAGCACAAGTAATATTCTCCAGCGTAGATCATTTATGAAGATAAAAAACAAGCCTAAATTTATTTTTAGAAATAAAATCATACCAAGTACGTTCTCAGACCACAATGAAATAAAATTAGAAATCTATAACAAAAATGACCATGGTACAAAAAAAAATTAAGATAATAGTTTATGAATCTTTGAAACAAATGAAAGTAGAAATATAACATACCAAAACTTATGGGATACAGCAAAAGCAGTGCTAAGAGAGAATTTTATAGCAACAGACACCTGCATCAAGAAAGTAGAAAAATTCCAAATAAAGAATTTAATAATGCACCTCAAGGAATGAGAAAAGCAAGAACATTTAAAACCCCAAATTAGTAAAGGAAAAGGAATAACAAAGACAAGAGGATAACTAAACACTATAAAGACCAAAAAAAAAAAATGAAAATAAAAAAATCAACAAAATAAAAGTTGGTTTTCTGAAAAAATAAACAAAATTCATAAATCACTGGTAAGACAGATGGCCCAATAAAACCAGAAATGAAAAATAAAACATTACAGTTGATAGTACAAAAATTTTAAAAAATGTAATCAGAGACTATTATGAACAACTATATACTAAAAAACGGGAAAACCTAGATGAAATAGATAAATTCCTGAACACATACAACCCACTGAGATTGAATCAGGAAGAAATAAATATCTGAAAAGACCAATTATATGAGACTGAACAGTAATAAGACACCTCCCAGTAAAGTAAAGGCCAGGACTGCATAGTTTTGCAGCTAAATTTTACCTAACTTTCAAATAAGAACACTAATTCTCCTCAAACTACTCCAAAAAATTCAAGAGGAGGGAGTTCTCCCTAACTCATTCTATGAGGCCAGTATTACTGATACCCAAAACACACAAGGACACAACAACAACAACAAAGAAAATTAAAGTGCAATATCCCTGATGAACTTAGATCCAAAAGTTCTCAAAAAATAACAGCAAACTGAGTCCAACAGCACATCAATAAGCCAATAAACCATGATCAAGTGGCATTTATCCCAGGGATGCAAGGATGGTTCACCATATACAAATCAATAAATGTAATACATCACATCAGCCAAATGAAGAACAGACACTATTTGATCATCCCAATAGGTGCAGAAAAAGCATGAGTAAATTCAACACTCCTCATGATAAAAATTCTCAACAAACTAGGTATTGAAGGAACATACCTCAACATAATAATGGCCAGACATGACAAACCCACAGTTAACATCACACTGAATTGAAAAAAAAAAAGAAATTTCTAGTTCTTTTCTCTAAGAACTAGAAAAAGAGAATACTGCCCACTTTCACCACCCATATTCAACATTGTACTGGAAACGAGAGTGATCAGTCCAGAGAAAAAATAGAAGGCATCCAAACTGAAAACAACAAAGTCATATCAATTCCTCCTTGTAAGTGACATGAATTTATATTCAGAAAAAAACTAAAAAAATTCACAAAATACTTTTAGATCTGATAAACAAATTCAGGAAAACTTCAAGATACAAAATCAAAATATAAAAATCAATAGTTTTTCTATTCAAAATAACAAAGTAGCTGAAAAAAGAAATCAAGAAGGCAAAACCATTTAAAATAGCTAAAAAACATAATACCTAGAAATAAAGTAAACTAAGGCAGTAAAAGACATCTGGAAAGAAAACTACAAAACACTGATGAAAGAAACTAAAGAGGACACAAACAAATGGAAAGACATCTCATATACATGGAACAGAGGAGTTAATATTGTTGGAATGACCATATACCCAAAGCAATTTAAAGATTCAATGCAATCTCTATCAAAACACTAATGATAGTTTTCACAGAAATAGAAAAAAAATTCTCAAATTTATATGAAACTAAAAGAGTCCAAATAGCCAAAGCAATCCTGCACAAAAAGAATAAAGTTGGAGGCATCACGTTACTTAACTTTAAAATATGTTACAAGGCTATAGTAACCAAAACAGTATGACATACATATAAAAACACACATAGACAAAGGGTATGGAATAGAGAAATCAAATAAGTCCATGTACTTACAGCCAACTCTTTTTTGAAAAAAGCATCAAGAATATTCATTAGGAAAAGGACACACAAGTCAATAAATGATGCTGTGTCTGGGCACAGAACACAGAAATGATAAATACCTTAGGTGATGGACACCCAAAATTACATCTGCATGTACCTGCTTTCTCTTTTTGCTGTACATCATCAGAGTTTAGAAATGTTTGAAGAACTACTTTCAAAGAACTATTGTTTTGAATAACTATTTTGTAAGATCACCTATCTTACAATTGTAATGAGTTAGTTTTTGTAAATGAGTTATTTAAATTTTGCTTAAATTTTTATTGATCTTAGTTGGAAATATTTAATGCACAACAAACAAAACACCAAAAAATGTGTCTTTTCAAACTTAATGAATCACAATGATTAAAAGCAAATTAATGATATAGTTTGGATGCTTGTCCCTTCCAAATTTAATGTTGAGATGGGACCTCCAATGTTGAGGTGAGGCCTAATGGGAGCTGTTTGTGTCATGCAGGTGGATCCCTCATGAATGGCTTGGTGCTGTCCTCACAGTAATGAGTGAGTTTTCACTCTATTAGCTCACATGAGAGCTGGCTGCTTAAAAGAGCCTGGGACCTCCTTCTCTCTCTCTTGCTCCCTCTCTTTCATGTGACATGCCTGCTCCTCCTTTGCCTTCTGCTATGAGTGAAATCTTCCTGAGTCCGTAGAAGAAGCCAAGCAGATGTTGGGCCATGCTTGTACATTTTGCAGAACTTTGAGCCAAATAAACCTCTTTTGTTTACAGATTACCCAGCCTCAGGTATTCTTTCATGGCAATACAAAATATACTAACACACTTGTAAACAGAAATGTTGAAATTTATTATTACAGAAAGGGGTCTGAACTAGCTCATTTGAACTTAAATTTTGTTAAAAAATTAATTTTGAAGTTCTGTAATTCTATAATGGCACTTTGTAATATATTAATTTGTAATTTTTTAAAGGAGCAACTATTTTAATTGGTTAAATTTATATTCTTTACCAGAATAGAGTAAAATAGAGAAGTCTAGAGTTTTGTAACATCAAAATTTGGTAAAACATTAAAAAGGTTAATAAAGAAAATAAGTTTTCAATGCATTTTGTCTTGTAAAAATATTTGTCAAAAATAATACTCTGAATAGAGGCAAAATAGTATATTTAAACTAAAGCAAATGCACATTTTAATTCAAACAATATAATTAGTAATATATTACATTTAGTAGAATTTTCTCTGGGTTTTTCAGGTACTCAGGAGTTACTGACAGAGTGTTGTCTCAATATAACTATCATAGAGTGAAGAGAAGAATCAATTGATGATATAAAACATTTCCAATTTATTAACCATGAAATGCAACTTTCAAGAACGTTTTGGAAAAAAATTAAAAGAATGAGACCACATTTAAAATGTATTTCATTTTGGAAAACACAATTGCATGATATTACAGACAGATATAGCTAAGAAACTGATTAAAGTACATGAAAATGTACCAAGAATAAGTCTTTCAACTTATTTTTAATGTTTATAGACATTATATAGTTTAATTTTAACATTAGTTTAATATACAAATATGTTGTCTTACTTTTGAAATAATTTTACTATTTTTTGGTGTGCATATAATTTATTCTTAATTCCAACTGCATGATTTATTCCTTTTCTGCCTTTCACAGTGATTATTTTCATGGTAGAAATAGGAGTAACTTTATCATTTGCTTTATAATCAAAACATTTATGCCTTTCTAAGTTCTAAATGAAACATTTTACAGCAAAACATGTCTTTAATGCTATTTTAGCTTGTATTTTTTAATTGAAACATTATAACTGTACATATTTACAGGGTAAAATTTGGTGTCTGGATATGTTCATACATTGTGTAATAATCAAATCTGGGTAAATAGTATGTCTGTCACCTCAAACATTTATCATTTCTTTATGATGAGAATGTTTAAAATCATCTTTTCTAGCTATTTTGAAATATACAATATATTATCATTAACTATAGTCACTTCACTGTGCAACAGAACACCAAAACTTATCCTTCACGTCTAACTCTAACTCTCTTCATCTTTCTCTTTTTTCCTACCCTCTCCAGCCTCTGGTAACCACTATTTGACTCTGTACTTCTGTGAAATCAACTTTTTTAGATTCCACATTTTAGTGAGATTATGGCTAAGCCCAGAGGACATTATGTTAAGTGAAATAAACCAGGCAAAGGACAAATACTGAATATTTTTATTTAAAAAAATAGTTTTTAAATAAAACTAGTTTATAGACACACCACTACAGTGAAGCTAATTTGTCAGTTAATGCATACACATTTTTTAATTATATAATTTTAATATTTTCAGATTCTTTTTCATTCTCCAAAGTACTTTAGTTGGGATTACACATTGCAAATCTGATGGGCACTCTATCCTTTGACCAAGGGCATCAGAAACACTGGAAGTGCCTGTTTAAAAAATGCAGATTTTGAAAACAGAATGAGGCTTTTCTGGGGTAGCCAGGAATCTGAATTTTTAATAGCCCTTGTGATTACTAAACATAATAAATTTTGAAAAGTGCATTGGAAAGGAGATTCAACTTCTATAATCAAAGAACCTATAAACCAGAAACAGAAGCCCTGTGGGCATAGCAACAAGGAAATGGCATAGCCCTTGAAGAACTGGCATATAAAAAAAGCAATCTGGCTCATTGCAGCATAGGCAGAATATTTTAAATTAAGCAATACCTTCAACATTTTTCCTTCTTATAAAAACAATTCATTTTCACTATAGAAAAATTAGAAAATACAAAAAAGCAAGAAGAAAATAAAAACCCATACAAGATTCATATGAATAAAACTATTGTTGAAACCTGGATTGATTTTATGTTCAAGCCTTTTACTTTGAGAATGCTGTTAAATTACATCACATGTTGAATTCTAATTTCAAAGATCGCGTTTTCTTTTTTTGAGTGCAAGTACAGTAGAGCTATACAAAGAAGAAGGTGTTGCATGAAGTATGAAGGCTATTACCATGCTGCTTGTATATTACAATGGTTAAGAACTAGACTTACAGAGTTAAAACTGCTTGAATTCAAATTCTAGCTCTATTACTTCTTTGTTTTGTGACCTTAGAAAGTTACTTAACCCGTTGTATCTCAGTTTGCTTACCTGTGAGAAGACGTTAATAATAGTACCTACTCATATTGTTGTTGCAAGCATTAACTAATAAGTAAATAGCATCTCACCAATTTTCAGAACTCAGTAAATGTTAGCTATTATTATTTTGAGCTCTGTGGTTTCATGAATATCCTATAGCTTAGCTCAGTGAGGAACAAGATCCAATCTTCTTTGAAGATTAACTTCTATATATCTTTATTAGAAGACTTATTATTTTGTTTTTGTTTATTTATTTAGAATTTTAATTTTTGGGGGTGCATAGTAGGTTCTATTAGGCAAATAATGAAAATTTGAAAGGTCTTTGTCTATCCTTGTCATAAATAAATAAGTGGGGTATCTAGAGTCTTATCTAAGTTACAGGAGTAAGTATGATTCTTTGCAGTAAGCCATTTCTGGAAACACAAAATAGGGAAAGGTTTTTAAACTGTCATTGTTTTTCAGGGACACAGTGCTCAAATTAATTTTAAAATTGTCAGTTTGTATACTGAGGATATTTTCCTTGGCACCTACCTAATGCCCAGAGAGCACAGTCACTTCTACCACCTGAATCTCTTCTTTTAAGAGGCATTCAGATTTATGAATACCTCTCTCTCTCTCTCTCTCTCTCTCTCTCTCCCTCTCTCTCTCTCTCTCTCTATATATATATATGTATATATATATATACATATATATATACATATATATATATATACATATATATATACACATATATATATACGTGTATATATATATATATATATATACGTATATATATATATGTGGTTAGTGAGATTAGGGGAAAATGAAAGAGAATTGCCCTGGCCATTTCAGTTTCCACAGAGTAATGCTTTTCAATGAGTTCTTGCTTTTCACTTCTGTAAAAGTTTCTGTTTTATTCTTTTTCTAATTTTTTTTTGTTTGGTTCGTTTTGGTTTTATTTCTTTTTTTTTATGTGAGGTTGAATGTGTCTAGATAAATTATAAACATAATTTTTAATGAAATATAGTGGTTTCTTGCTCTCATCCATCCTAGCCCTGATCTCCAAAGGCAAATACTTTTAATTTTTGTAGTTGTTTCATCTAATAATGATGTCCATATTTCTAAGCAATATACATATAATAAAGCCTTTTCTTGGGTTCATTAATTTTAAACATTTTCACATAGTCTTCTTAAAATTTTTTAATTTTTGTGGGTACCTAATAGGTGTATATATTTATGGAGTACAGGAAATGTTTTGATAAAGGCATGCAATGAATAACAATCACATCATGCAAAATAGTGTATTCATTCCCTAAAGCATTTATTCTCTGTGTCACGAACAATTCAATTATGCTCTTTTAGTTATTTCCAGGTAGCATTATTGACTTTCTATTATAATAAATTAAGATTTAGCTGTCTTGTACCTCCTCTCTCTTTCTTACTGTCCCTCATCTCGTTTGTATATATGTTTATACACACATATGTGTATATCTATATAACACGTATATAGCACAATATTACTTAAATTATTAAACAGCAAGCATATAATTATTATGCCAACATTACTTGCTGGGTATAGATTATTATCAGATATATTTATTTACATTTTTAATTTCTTTAGGTTATTTTTGGCTGTTTCTTGCCTTTCATAATTTTCCAGATATCCTTATTTTATTCCAGATACTCCATCATATTATTTACCATAGCATCTTCTCTATTGAGTTTAATTTTCCTGAACATCTTTTTCCAGAGGTTTTCACCAGTCTTCTTTTATATGGACAGATTTTTTCTAAGCTGGCCATAGAGCTGCTACCATGGGACTATTCTTGACCCTCCTTGAGTGAGACTCAATAGTTCCTAAACCCAGAACTGATATTTAGCTGGTACAAACCTTTACAACAGAGTAGCCAGCTTCCCCCTTCATTGGTTGAGAATCCATTCTCATTAGCCTTGCAATCCTTGTTGATAAATACTTTGAACATCCTATCTTAATGAATCCAATGTCTTGTTCTTTTTTACTATACTCCATTGTACTGCTGGAAAATGTGTTCTCATAATAGAGTTTCTAAGAATCTTTCTATTTTCCACTCTGCACTTTTACTATAAATGCTTCCTCCAGGTCCTGAACATTTCTGGGGTTCTGTTAAGGATATATCGGTTCTTTTTTCCATTTTAATACAATGTTTTGTTGTAACTTATTTTATGTTGATGTTCCTTAATCATTATCTAGGTCTTTATTTGATTTTTGCGTTTTTCATTTCTTTAATTTTAATTATTAAAACCTGATCATAATGCAAAAAGCTGTTAAAAAATAATGATATTGACCTGACTTTAGAAAAAAATTATAAAATGTTCCTATAGGTTTTTGCTTACGCTTTCCCTCTGTCTTTACAGCTTATTTTTCACATACGAATTTAAGTCAAAGCATTACTATAAATAATCCTTCTGCACCAAAGATTGAGTCAAATTAAACCTTCTGCAGAGAAATTTCTTGTTTCAACATGACATATTTAACATAATTGGAAATAACTTGAATCAAATCTTAGGTGAAAATTGAATATAAATTGTCTGGAAGGCATTATATAGACAGGGAAAGTATATTTTAGAAACATTACTTTTCAATGCTTGGTATGTAATCCAGAAAAGCACAGCTTTAGAAAGACTTCTATGAATTTGAGAAGAGTATATAAGTGTAGTAAAAGAAAATTTAAAAATATTCTGTACAACAAAAATATATAGTTGTACTTTTTGAATTAGACAAGATATTTTGAAAGTTTTTAAATGGCAACTGATTATCTCATTTTATAGAAGGGTATCACATTCACAACTATTTGTACTGATTTTTTAATTTTGTTTACTCATCTTCATGGACCACATATGTGGACCTGTTTTATTCTTACATTGCTTTCCTCCCTAACTTGGCTAATCAACTTTTAATGAAGACTGCCATCCATTTAGAGACCCAAGGAAAACTTCCTTTCCCAACTATTTTTCCTCCCTACCAAAACATACCACAACAACTCTTCACAAAATCTCAAATTTTAGGAATATTTTTAAATACGGTTTTCAAACAATGTGTGATATTTAACTTGTGATTCCTTATATAACTTTTTGTATGACATATACTATATATGACACCTTTTTCCAAATAAGCTGTAAATTGTTTGAGGACAGTTATCAGTCACTCATTCATCAACTATTTATTGAAAACCTACTATTCATCATAGGCACTGGGAGATACAATAGTGAATAAAACAGCCATTTTTCTCATGGCTGCCTAAGAACACATGTGCTGGAGTCACATAAGCCTGGGATTGAATCTGTTTCCTACTATCCGTGTGACATTATGGGGGTAATAATGACATCTACCTCATAATTTTTTAAAAAACATGAGTTTTCAGACACAGATGAGCTCTCTCTGTTAGATACTATCAGAATAATACATAGTAGTAGTAGTTTTTTTTGCACTGTGTATCTTTGAGTGTCTAAATATGTGTTAAGTGTACTAAGTAAATATGTGAAAATTAGTTATGCAACTTAGCACTAAGGAATAGGTTAGGAAAAAGCTATTTGAGCTGGAAGTGAGTCTATTTCTCACTTCTAGGTTGTATTTTAACTGAAAAGGATTTTCAGGAAAAAAAAGTGACAAAACAAAGTTGATGAAAGTAAAATTATTATAAAGAATGTTCTTAGAAAAATATTTTAAAAACAACCATGTCCTTCCATTTATATCAAAGTAAAATTGAGGTTTCAGTGCTCCTTTAATAGCCAGCCCTTCTAAATATGTATATTTTTGGTAATGGCTTTGGGAGTACTCTTGAGACTATTAGACTTGAAAATAAAAGAGCTTCTTATGAGCTAACAAAGCTTCATTTGAGATGCAGGTGACAGTTTAAATGGCAGCAAAAGGAATTTAGAGATGAGATTAAGAGAAATGTGATATAAATTAAAAAATGGTGATCTTAAAATTTTTTAAACTTCTGGAACAAAAAATGTGAAAAATAGCAAATATCCTAAGGAAAATAATTTGTAAATATTTGCATTGTCTCACACAGCAAATGATCTAAACTTGAGATTGACTTAAATTGTGTTTGTCATTCTACTTGGCACTTTCTACCTGAGTATTTTGATGTATAAAGTATTTTTGCAAATTTCACATCATATGGTGTTTTCTAGCATAAGAATCTTTAAGTTCTTTATAACTTCATAAATCCAACAAAAACAGGATGGAAAATCATAACAATATATATATACAAAGTTTTAAGATTTCTATAGATTATGTAATTGCTGTACAGGTAGACCTAGTTACAACACAATAGAATGGCTCCAAAACAGCTTTTGTATTTGATTTAACAAGGGAACTGACAATAAAGACATTTTCCATATGGAAAAATTCTAGTCTGCCTGAATAATACACTGCATCAGGTCACATGGGGCTTCTTATACTAAGAAGGTGTTCAAAAAATTTATCAGCAGCCGGAGGTGTTCTTTACTGTGATTGAATAAAATAGATTTTCCTAAGAATATGTGAAAGGAACAATGAAGTAGAAAAAGTTTCCTACTTCTTCAAAACTGGGTGACTATAGCCACAATGAACTTGTTTGTTACCTGGCTGCAATTTCCTAAGAGGATTTTGTCTACTTTTGATACCTATTCAGGACTATTGCTAACTATACTACTTTAAAGGAGGCACAGTTTCTAAAGAGCAATATCATTTTACCTCATGAAAAAATAAAATCTCAAAATGTCAATGATATTTTTCTTATGCTAATATCATCACCCAGTCTTTTCTTATAAATTGAGTGATTTTATCAAGAGGAAATGGTGTACCCATAGAGTTATACGGATTATTAAGATAGTTTGGGTGTCTAAAGGATGCTTCAGTGGAAATGTCCTAGTCAATTACCTTTGGGTGTGAACCAAGAGAAAGATAAACTTCCATAAGGCTCTGGACAAATGTTCTAAGTCTGGATGACAGGCAAAATAAGTTGAAAGCTTTAATTTGCATTATTAAGGGATCAAAAATTTCAATTGTTGATCAAAGAGAAGCCTTTATCCATAAGGCCCGCAAGGCATTCTATGGGAATTTTCTAATTGTTTAACCTTTTTTATGTACCTTACAATGTTCTTCAGTTTTGATAATCCCATGGATGTTGAAAACTTTGAAATTATCTGAAGATCATTAAACTAGTATGACAGGATGAAAATACATATGATCTGATACTAGTCCAATGCCTTTCTTATAGAATTATAGAAAAAATTTGCAAAATAAGGGATACAAATTTAAGACAACAAGAAAGAAGTCTTCTTATCAAGATGGGGACGGAATATGTTTCTAATCCCTGATAACTGTTTTATATTTTTTATCTTAGTTAAAATTTAAACAAAGTGAAATGCATACTTTTAAGTGCATAAGTTAAATTTTTTTAAAAAAAATTTATATACCCATGTAGACATAATCCTAATCAAGATATAGAACATTTCCATAACTCCAGGAAGCTTCCCCAAGCCCACTTCTAGTCAAGTATAGTACCCATAGGCAAACATTATTCTTATTTCTAATAACAAGAATAGATTTTGCCTACTCCTAAACTTGATAAAAGTGTATTTATAAAGTGTATACAATTTTTATCTGGCTTCTTTCACTTAATATTTTTTTACATCCATCAATTTTTAAAGTAAATATTAATAGTTTCTTTTTTGCATAGTAGTAATCCTTTGTATGATTTATTGCTCTAAGTAAATAACTATGAGTAAATTATTGGGTCATAGGGTAGGTATATGTTTAACTCTATAAGGACCTGTGAAACCTTTTCAGAAGTGACTCCAAAATTTTTCACGTCCACCAGCAAGGCATGGTAGTTTCATTTATTAACATTTTCATAAATATTTGGTACTTGTTGGTGTTTTTAATTTTATATGTTTTAGTATGTGAAACCAGAAAATCTGAGACAGGTCCGAAAAGAAAGTTATACCATGAAAGACAGAATATGTGTCTCAAAAAATAAAATTTCAAAAACAATTTTCAGATGCAGTGAGGTGAAGTTTTGTGTGAATGTGTGCCAGCAAAGCAGTGGAGGGACACTGTGGGCAGGTGTGCACTGGTGGGGCAGAAGCTCTCCAATGGTAATGTGGGGTCTGCCTGCAAAGGAACTATGGCAGTGACCCTTGGAAAGCACCTAAGTTGGGCAGCAGAGATTGTGTTGCAAGCAGCGTGGCTAGGCAAGGACTCTGGGAGAGAACAGCATACAGTGGTGCATTCAAACTGGTCCCCTCCCACAGCAAGATAACCCTGTTTTGTCCAGGTCCACCAGTCAACAAAGGCCAAGAGTATGGTAAATTTGGGGGCATGGGCAACAACGGCTATGCTCCACTACAGCTGTTTCCACGCCAAATGATATGGGCTCTGCACAGGCTGAAGTCTCATCCCTGCCAACTCTCCAAGCAGCTCTCTGCCACCTCAATTGTCTGTGGGGGTCATGGGGTCTTCTGTAGCTAGGACTCTGGTGGTCCTTGGTGAGAATGGGTCACTTCATGCCTATTCATCTCACTCCTTCCTGCAGAACAGCCTGGGGGCAGGAACTAGTCCTGGTGCCTGGAAATCCCACCCAAGGTTTCTGGCTTCCTCCCCCTTCATCCCAGCATTTGTGTCTTCCCTCTGTCCACTCTCAGTGCCTTTCTTCCAAAGATTTGCTCTAGTGTGCTGGTCTTCTTGGAGGCTTGGTCCCTGAGTGGAAAGAAGCTATTCTTAGCTACATCCAGTCAGCCATCTTGGCTGTTCTTGAGACCAGATTTCTGTAGTTTTGTAACATCACATCCTTATATAAATTTCCCTAAACAGGGTCCAGAAATTTCTATTCCTCCAGAGAGAATTTTATGACCACATCCCTGAATGACGACAGTCGTATTTCCCAGCTTCTGGCATATCCCTGCATTTTTCCTACAGATCTCCCAGTACTTGCAGGTCACAGGGCCACAGAGACTGTGGTAGAGTAACCTAGGGCCTTCTGAAGAGTAGGAGATGTAACAGTAAAGATGGGAGCAAAGCTCCTTTTGCAGCACAGGGAGACAAAGGCCAAACCCCATTTTAATGTTAGCATTTTCTAACCAAAGGGAAACTTATTATCTTGGAAGAAAGTTTCCATATTTACATTTGCCTTAATTTAAAAAAATACTTCACTCATGCAGACAATATAAAATAAATAATAAACATGTACAACATGTAAATTTTGATGACTGACAAACTAAATTGTGAAAGAAGGCTAAGAACGTGGAAGGTAGCCTCTGGAAAAAAACCTGAAGTAGATTAAAAAATTCATGAACTTTGTTTTCATTTAATAAATATTATCTAAATAACCTATTTTTGACTATACATACTGACTCAGAGGCTTTGATAAGTTTCTAAGAAGAAAAACGAGATTTTAAAGAAAGTGTATAAAAGTGTGCGTGCGTGTCTGTGTGTATATATACATTCTCCCTGTATTATCTGTGGCAGAAACGGTTGTCTGCTCAAAAACCACTCCCTCATTTTTCTTCCTCAAAGGTATTGCTGCAGGACTTTTTGTAGTTCAGCTAAAAATAGGGTTCTTTGACCCAGGGCCACAAAAATTCAGGCTTGCAGACATTTTGAATGGTGAGTAAGACAGGGTTTTATTGTGTGAAAAGGAAGAAAAGGGGGAAACAGGGACTCTTACAAGGACAGAGTTCATTCCCTCCTCTAAAGAGGCACATCTAACTGCCATTAGATGAAGGATAAGACGAGGACTGATCTTAACTGATTCCTGCTGATAGGTGGTGCTGTTTGGGGGAAATGGCAGTCAGGGCTCCATCAGAGGCCTATTTAAGGGTTCCCGGCAGAAGGGGCCATCATCAGAGGTTCCAGTTGCATCACCATTTGGAGTTTGACGGCCTGAAGGCAAGAACAGACAAATCGAGTTACTAGGAAAACATGTATCAAAACTTAACAAGGGGAGGGGTAAGGACAGCTTAAAAGTTCCAAGGCCTTTTACCAGTTTGCACAGGGAGAGGGAGGCCAAAAGCCTGACTGGTATTAAAAAAACTTTACCCTACTGCCGGCATGTTGGGCTTCTAGGTTCCCTTCCCCTGAGTCCAATCCTAAGCCAATCAGTTTAGGGTTTAAAAAATGAACTCTTTCCAGTTCTGAGGATGCATCTGAGGGGAGTGTCCCATAGCATGAAGACACAATTACCTATCTGTGAAGAGAGAACCAAGGAAGAGAAAGAAAAAAAGAAGGTGCCTTTTAAAGGAGTCCCAGGGGTTCAGGATGCATTGGAAAGGGGTACGGACTGAAGATGAATGGTTACCCATCTAGAAGAGGCGAGCAGGCATCCCTGGTTCCCTTCTCCTCCTGGTAGATACCCAGGGGTAAGTGAAGGAGAGAGGGAAAAGTGTCCTCTTTCTCTTTTCCATCCTTGCACCCCTGAGTTCCAGTGACCTTGGCAGGTGCCACCATGGATGTCAAAGCAACTTGCACCCATGAAGCAGGGGGGGGCTTAGGGGTTGAAATCATCCACTCTTACCCATGTACCGCCATCTCCCCTGATGTCAGTAGCCTTGGAGTTCCCTAGACCTCATTTATGCCAGGGATACTAACGTGGCCATTATCCATGAAACGAGAAGCCTGGGCTTGGCATAATCGGCAGGAATCAGCCACACTCACCCGTGCTCTGCCTTTTAACTTCTGTTATCATTTGCCTCTAGATCACTCAGATCCAGTTTTCCTTCCTAGGGCTTTGACCTGAAGTTTGGGATTAAGCTTGGGACAAAAATGTGTCTGGGGGGTTGCATGGGCTGAATGCTCAGGTGAAAGTGTGGAATTGAGTTCTCTTCCAACAAGGGAGAGAAAAGGATGTCTTGTGACACACTCAGATAGCTGGTGGCTATAGTTATGCTTGCTAGGATTTGGGTGCATGGTGCTTGACTTTGGTTAGCTCCCTTGGTCTTACTTTCCCAAAAAGGAAACCTCCAAGTGATGGGCATCCTATTTGTTACCATCACCTGGCAGGATTTGCAGGATAATTGCTCAGAACTAGAATATTGATCCAGATTTCTACATTACCCATCCCTTTTGTTCTTTCTGAGCTGCAGCTGGAAATTGTTTGTTGATTCACAGGAAGAAGCAGGGTTAGTCTAAAAATACAGGCAAAAACTTTAAAACCGCTAATGAATTTAGAATTTAAAGGCAAATGTATGATTAGTTTTGGAACATATTTTCTCTCTTTCCAGTCCTCAATTTTGCTAAAAAAAAAAACATAGGACTGAATGATTTGCAAAATAGACTTTAGTCTTATACTTGGCCTGATTATTTGCATTAAGGGCAGCAAGAATAATTATTTCCACATAAGCCTTTTGGATTGGCTTTGATGGAAGTTTCTTCCACAAGGAATCTCAGATAAGACCTTTTAAAGCTGAGGCCAACCATGGGTTTGTATCCTCAAATACCTGTGAGTTGGTTTATCCTTTCCTCTTAAGGTCCCGTAATAAACTTGGAGCTCCTGGACCCATTAGAAATTGACATTCTTTACTGACAATAGGTCAGGAACACTGTATAGGGACTGTGTAGACAAGGGTATCAGGCCAGTTTCCCCACTGGGCTTTTATTGGCTCTGCAAGTTGAGACTGACTCCTTAAAGGGAAGCATAGCCTTCCCATCAAAGCATTGGTAAAATAACCACTCTCTCCAATTGAGTTCCATTTCAGAAGAAAAATGGATCCTTACAGCACTGATGCAAACAACTATATTGCTATAAGAATACTCACAGATAGTTTTCAAATTTTAGAGGAACCAGGCAGAGAGAAACAAAGTCACAATAGTGAATACCTTTCTTAATTATTAAAGGCTTTAATATTTCAAAGTAAGTTTACTTAAATCTGAAAAAAAACAAGGATCAGCTATATTGCAAGCAAAAGTCAAAAATATTTGCTTCAGCTTCTTGAGTTCAGTCCATTTAGTTAACTCTTGTTTTGCTTGATATTCATGAATATTTTAGTTCTTTTAGAATCTTGTACATTTTTCTTTATTCCAATGTTACAATCTCCAAAGTTATCAGAAGCCTGCATTTGAGAGCACTTGTTAAAGTTCTACAGCTAATTATAAGCCATCTTTGAAAAGGATTCAAACAAGACAACAATTCTCTGTGAATATGAAAATGTCCAGAGTAGTTACAGTTAGAAACACGATTCAAAGTTTGGTTATCTCCATGGTTCACAAAAACTTAACATAACAACCTTAATTATGATTGATAGCATATACTCAGACACTGGAATTTTACAAATCCCATATAATTTTGGAACATATATTAGCATTATTCACGAACATACAACCTAAAGATTAAGATTGAGTATCATTTTGGCAATCCCATGTACCTAAACACGTCAAATAATCCTGTTTACCTCTTTTTTCTGGACACTTCAGGGGCCCTCTGCAGTATTCAAAAAGCCAAGCGCCAGGGAAGATAATTTTGAAACTGAAGTTTGATTTGGGGAAGGCTGTTAAATGTTCAAGGTTTAAAACACTTAATATTATGAAATGGAATCCAGATTACAATAAGTTATTTATTTTGCCAAAATGATGACCCAGAAGTTTTAAAAAAGAAAAAAGCTTTTATAACCCTTTACAAATTTTGCCAAAGAGCAGATTAGCGTCTTAGGAATACCTTGTTATGCTTTTATTTCAATGCTCAATTTACAGAAAAAACATATAATACCCTTATTTGAATTTAGTCAATATGTTCACACAGAGAACCTCTTCTGCAAGATTAATTGCCACAATTCTTCCACCACTTCTTTGAACCTTCAGCTTTTTCCTAATTTAACTCAAAACAGTCCTTTAACCCTAGGCGAAAGTTTATATTTCCATGCCTTCTTATAACCTTTTACTAGAAAACACATGTTCTTATACACCTTGCATGTAAATTATGCATGTTCTTATATACCTTGCATGTAAATCTATTTCTAGTTGTTTTAATTAACTCCTAGCAATTTTGAACTTTAAGGTAAAACTTGGTAAGTTGCTTTAATTGTGTGCTAACTGCAGCCAAAGTTTGCCTTCTTAAGGGTTTGGTTAGTTCCATATGTCCCAGGCCTTACCAATTGTGAAGCGTGCAAGTCAAATAGTTCTCAAAACTCAAAAAGCAGTTTGTAACCTCAAAACACTTAGCAAATCTTGCATCTGACCTGCATTTTACCAATAGTATTAAGAGCTGGTTTCATTTCTTAGAGAATAAAGTCACGTGAACTGAAATGTAACACCGATTTTATATTCCATTTACAAAATATTATATCCAAGTTCTTGTCTTTCTTTAGGCCAAATTAATTAGAGCTCTTTTTACAGACAATATACACACTGAGAGGCAGAATACCCAGTCACCGGGTGGGGCCCTTTAAGAGACAGGGCTAGGAAAACATGCGGATATTGAACCAGAAAGGGCTCATCCCCTAAGGTAGGATTGCTAAACAAAGCCTTGCCAAGTGGTTACCGGCCATGCCTCCAGGATGTAAAACAAGATGGAGGCTTGCAGCACAAACCATACAGACATGCAAAGCACACCAGATTGGCTGCAGCCCAAGACCAGCCCCACAAATACTTTTTCACAATTAAAGTTTTACAGAGAATATACACAGTGATAGCTGGGGGGCCTGGCCTAGTAAAACATTTTCTAGAAAAAAAAAAAAAAAAAAACTTTAAAGATTAACTGCTGACAGGGTGGAAAGGAGGAAAGAAAAAGAAACAGCTTAAAAATATCTGGGGAAGAATCTCTTATTCTTATGCAAATGGTTCCTCCACTGGGGAGACAAGTTTATTTGATGTGGGTTGGAGCTGACCTCCCTGATGCTGGGAGGAGGAGACTCCATTGGTGCGTGGCAGAAAACGCCAGCCAGCTGCCCATGGCACGTTGGGCCATGCGTCCGAGCTCTAGCAAGCAGGGGAGGGTGGAGGGGAACCTCTGCTTGCCCGTCCCTCCGGAAGAAGGACAGAAAAGGTCATGGAAAGGATGGGTTAGTTCCAGATCCCCAGGAGCAACAGAGCGTGGGGGTGCAGTTTCCCATAAGCTCAGAAGTCCAAGGATTTAAAGGCTTAAAAGTGACACCGAGAGGTTTTGAGTCCCCATTTCACTAACCGTTTCTCGACCTCCACGTTGGGCGCTAAAAATGTTGCAGGACTTTTCCTTAGTTCGGCTAAAGATGGCGTTCTTTTTCCCACGGCTATGAAAATTCAGGCTCGCAGACAATTTGAATGATGAGTAAGACAGGGTTTTATTGGGTGAAAAGGAAGAAAAGGGGGAAACAGAGACTCTTGAAAGGCCAGAGCCCCTGCTAGAGGGCTTCTCACCAAGCAAATTGAATTCCAGTTTCCACACAGGAAGAGGAAGGGCCAGGCTCCTCCCTGCTGCAAATGGCATGAAGCTGTGTGGCTCCACCCCAGTGCACATTCCCATTGCACAGGCTGGATGAAGTTTCTCCGGGGATTTTCCAGGGAACCCCCCTCCCCTTCCCACCTGGCTCTCTAAGTATCAGGTAAAAATTCCTTGATCTCTAGGAAAATGGGCACATGCTTACTGACAGACATGTGATCCAGTTCTGTCCTATAAAAAATAAGGATAATTTTTCTGGCGTGGAGTGCTTCCCTTTCAGATACAAGATGGGCATGGGAGAAAAATTCTACTCCATGACACTACCTCTTTTGTGCCTTTGGGTGCATTTTTATGAAATGTAGTAGATATAACCATTGAAACTATATTATGATTATGAGAAAAAGTCAGGAAAATTGCAGAGATAACTATTCAAAGCCCTGACCTTGTTAAGATACTAAACAAGTGCCTGCATCTTACTCTCTGAAAACTAGTTATTTGGGGAAAAAAAAAAAAAAAAACCTCTTATTTAAGCCTCAGTAAGTGCACATTATGCTTCTTATAGCCAATACATTTTTAAATTACATATTTTTTAAACTTTCATCTTATTTTTTACTCTGTGTAAATCTTTTTTCTTAGGTTTTTCTTTTGGAAAAACTTAAGTATTACTAGGAAGAAATACATAAGCCTGGGCAATTTATAAAGAAAAGAGGTTTATTTGGCTCATTATTCTGCAGGCTTGAGAAGAAGCAAGACAACAACATCTGCTTCTGATGGGGGCCTCAAGCTGCATCAATACATAGTGGAAGGTGAAGGGGAGGCAGCATGTGCAGAAGTAGCAAAGGGGTGGCAGGCAGATGCCAGGCTTTTATTTTTTTACAGCCAGCTCTTGCTGGAATTAAGAGCTAGAACTCACTCATTACCATAAGGACAGAACTAAGACATTCATGAGGGATCTGTCTTCATGACCTGAACGCCTCCCATTAGGCCCCCACCTCCAACACTGGGTATCAAATTTCAACATGAAATTTGGTGGATGACAAATATCTAAACTATAGTATGTGTGTGTGTGTATGTGTGTGTATATATACATACATATAAACATATATATACACACATATATATGTGTATATATACATATAAACATATATAAACATATATATACACACACACATGCACACACACACACATAATATTATATATATATGGTATTTAATGTTACCAAGATAAGGAGACAAAAAATGCCCAAATATGGCTCTATGGTAGTTGAAATGAGGCAAAACATTTGTGATAAAAGTTAGAAGAGGACTCAAATGTTGTAGGAAAAAAATCTGTGAACAGTTAAGAATGGGAGTGAACAGTGTGTCAAGGGTAGAGAGTAGAATGTGGAAGGTTTAGTGTGTTGCTACTGAGCTGTCACTACAATACAATTTAGTAAAAGTGGCAGGTATAATATTCTGTTAGAACACCTTGATACCAGCACAGATTGTTTATAGTATCTGCTTCAATTAGTTGGTGCTTAGACTGTACTGCTTGCTCATTATTTTGAGTATCCACAATGAATAGTGGCAAATAATGACTAAATTGAATGAAGTTCAAACCAAAGATTGTACAACAGTTCAGTCTTGAAAGAAAACCCTCAAATCCAAAGAGCAATGACACTCATGACTACTTGTTTTATTACCAGTTCCTCATGATTTGCGAAAAGCAACATTCCAGATTTTTGAAGTAAAAGTAATCTATAATAAATTACTATAAAAAGTGAATTTAAATGGACAAAGTGAATGGGAACATCTCAAGCCAAGATGGTAGCATGCCATCCTTTTCACCCTCTTTCAAGTTTGCATTAGCAAACCTAGCAATGGAAACCTGACTTCACATATTATTTTTAATCTATCCTCAAAACTGCTGCCTTCAACAAACCATTATGTAAATGGAATTTTCTTCAGGACTAGATTGGCATGTATGCCTTTGGTTGGTATTCAATTAGCACAAATTGTATATACTCTTTTCCAGTTATTTCTGCCTTACCTTGACCTACATTACTATATACTAGTTCAAAATTAGTGTTAATGGAGTTAGCTAATACAGCAACTGAAACTGATGTTATTCAATATAGAAGAGAAATAATAACATCAATATCTTATTCTCTTTACTCTGTCATACTTTTCACACATCATATTGTATAGTACCACGACTACATGGAATTCTAAAAAACTCAATACAATTTGACATTTTAAATGGAAAATTATGAGTAAATATAAATGATATATGAATTCTTAATGTATTCATATTTATTTTCAGAAATTTCACTCCAACTAGATTAAATGTACTTCAGCAGGAAATTTTGTTCTATTCTGTCAAAAAAAAAAAAATACCACAGAGAAGTAGTGTCAGTATATGGCAATGCTCATGTTCCAAGAGCTAATTTGATCGTCATCATATTGCTATTTGAATATCCTTTTGTCTTGCAGAATACAAGCACACGCAACTATTAACTGACAACTACAGAGTAAAGAAAGTGCAGAAATCATTGTTAGGTGAACGTATGGGTTATTTTCTTAAAAACACTCCAAAATTTTAAAATGTAATACGAAGTTCAAATGTTTTTGTTAACTTGAGAAAAGCTGTTACAACCCAGGTTAACTGTCAAGTATAAAATGAGCAATAATTCACGTACCTAGAAAATTTACAATGACAACATAGTAGACCAAAAACACATATTTAAATTACTTCATAAAGTAATTCAAGCCCTAGGTAATACCCCTTGTACCATATACATTTCATCATATGTTCAAGATATTCTCTTTTGTTTGTCGACCTTTTCCTATATGTAGTAAAAGCAATGAGTTCACTGGAAGAATTAAGTTCCATTATCTCTAAAAGAAGGTATCTTGGCTTATAACTAATCTATTTCCATTTTACTTTGCAAGGGAAAGATTAGTTGAAACAGAAGTGCATACAGAGTCTTAATGACAAATAAAAAAATAGTAGGATGTCAGGCAATCCACTGTATATCAGCACCTGACTCCAACCAAGCACACCCCCCAAAACACTTAGATTTTTACCATATGATTTTGTGACTTTACAAACAAGCTAGCCATATCCTACACTGTGTTTCAGTCATAGTTGAGACTTCTTTATTTCCTCTGGCTCTCCCAGGTTATTAGGAATGCTTTCCATTCTATCCTAAACATCTGGCTTGCTCCAGAGGTTCCTGAAAAATTAGTTGAATAATGCACAACTGTCCCTATTTTTTACATCAGTCAATTAACCGCATTAATCGCCAAAAGCTTCTGGGTCAGAAAGACTTGTTCAGTTTGTTTTGGAGTGTATTTTACTCCTCATTAAATAGAACATTAAAATTTAGTAGTCTCATTACCAAGATATAATTTGATTTATTCAAATTAAGTTCTGCAGAACGTAACACTAATGAACCTTTCATGTAATTCAGATTCTTATATTCAGGGTTATACTGTCAGAAGGGGAGTGGCATATCTTAGTACTAGATAGAAAAAGGACAGTGCTGGGGGAAGAACAGGCTGTTTCTATAAATGAATGTAAGTAGAAAATTGTCAACATTCATTTACCACTTGGTAAGCACTAAAGTGCCTGGTTCTCTGATGACAGAATGAGTAAGTGGTTGTTACTCTCCCTCTACTGGAGAGATGATGATGCACTGCTAGTTAACACCTTCTAAGTCCCTAAAGCACATCTACTTTAACTAGAATAGAGTTGCAATGAAGTTAAAACTTTTTCAGACCTATTTTTGATAGCTGGTAATGTTTCAATGTACAAGATAAAAAAGAATTGGAATTAGAGTAGAAGAGCATGCAAAAATCTAGAGCAGCAGAATAATTACTTAGAACCCAAGTAATTAAAATCTTCAACTATTCAGATAATTTTGTCCCCTTTCAAATTTTTTCATTTAAATTTTTAATTTTTCTGGGTACATAGTTCTATATATATGGGGTACACATGATGTTTTGATACAGGCATGCAATGTGAAATAAGCACATCATGGAGAATGGGGTATCTATCCATTCAAGCATTTATCTTTTGAGTTACACACAATCCAATTACAATTTTATCTCATATTCTACTTTGAGAAGAAGGACATACATGACATACATTTTTTAAAAAGAAGAAGAAAGCAAATAAAAATATTGCATTAGTAGTTCTTGAATCAAAGGCATGACAAAATGACAATAATGCTTTGGGAAGAGCACTATGCCAAAAGAGAGTGCAAGGCCAGTGGTATATGGAAGAAAGACAATAAAGAGGACATTCCAGTAATCCAAGTATGACTTCACAAGTCTGGAGTAGAGTGAATAGCAGAACAAGAGAGAAAAAGGAAAACCTGAGAGATACTTAAACAAAAAACATAAAAATCTGAGTTAGACATTGGACTTAGAAGAAAAAGAAATAAATGAATTTAAATAGCTTCAAAAATTTTACCTAGAAAACTGAAAATTACACAAATAATTTGGATAGAGAGGGGATCTACTTTAACTAGAACATTAATTTCAGTTTCAGACACTTTGAGTTTGAGATACCAGTATAATATTCATTTGGATATGTCCTCGGAAGTACTGCAATGCATGTTCATAGATATGTTAATTTGGGAATCATTTGCATGGAGAAGTAGTTGAAGAAATAAGAAAGAAGACAATGTGGTAAGCAGTGTGGTGATTTCTTAAATAATTTAAAACAATAGTACCATTCAACCCAGCAATCTCATTATTGGGTATATACCTGAAGGATTATAAATCGTTCTACCATAAAGACACATGCATGCATATATTCATCACAGCACTATTCACAACAGCAAAGACATGGAATCAATCTAAATGTCCAGCAATGGTAGACTGGATAAAGAAAATATGGTACATATACACCATGGAATACTATGCAGTCATAAAAAAGAATGAGATCATGTTCTTTGCAGCAAGATCAATGGAGCTGGAGGCCATTATCCTAAGCAAACTAATGCAGGAACAGAAAACCAAATACCACATGTTCTCACTCATCAGTGGGAGCTAAATAATAGGAACACATGGAAAGCAACACACACTGGGGCCTATCAAGAATAGGAGGGTGGGAGGAGGGAGAGGATCAGGAAAAATAACTAATGGTTAGTATGCTTAGCACCTGGATGATGAAATAATCTGTACAACAAACTCCCATGACACAAGTTTACCTATGTAAAAAACCTGCTCATGTACCCTTGAACCTAAGATATAAGTTAAAAAAAAAAAGAATAGTGGAGTACTTATGAAATTTAGAGTATACTCATAATTAAGTGGTAGAAAGAGAAAATGTAAGCAAAGGATGGAGTGGCAAAAAAGATGAGTATCAGGAAATTAAAATTCCATCAAAGCTAAGCATTGTGATTATTTCTAGGAAAATGAGATTGGTTAATAGCATTCAGAAATACAGAAACATTCCCTGGATTTGGTAAGAAAGCTGGTAATTTTTTAATGAATTGGCGGTGGAAATTAGACAGCTGTAACTTAATAGGGAGTGTATAGGAAATAGAGAATACGGGAAGTAATTGGCAACAAAATGAATGAAAGTTTGAATAAACTGTAGAAAAGGTAAGAATTGTTTAGGTCACTATGGTGATCACCAACTACAGTTCTTAAAAAATAACTTATATTTTCTTGTTAGACCACCAATTTCCAGTAGAAGACAAAAAGTTAGTGACTTGCTTTCTTTAAGGTTCTCTTGGAGAAGTTAAAAATATTTGTATCTTATGTGCACTGCTATGTAATAAGTAAAACCAAGCCAAAAAAAAAAACCCCTCATTTTATTTGAGTATCTCTAATGAAGATGGTTTTATACATTAAGAGGGCAAGGTAGAAATAACTTAATGCATAAGCCAAGAGGAGAAACTACATAGAAGAGCTAAATAAAAATTTTAAAAGGAGTTGTTAACACACACACGTGTGCATGCGAATCAAACCTGATAAACTGATTCCTGATAGAGCAGTACATTGAGTATCAATATGTGGTTCTTCCTTTCTTTAATTTTATATTAGGCCAAAACATCTTCCAGCATATCAAATCGTATCAAAATACTGTCACTCAATTTTAGAATTAGATATTCATCTATCATTTTGAAGCAGCTAGAATTCTGGTCCTTGTCTTCTCATTATACTAGTGAGATAACCAAGGAACTGAGAAGTTTCATAGCTTCTTCAGAGTGCCACAGAGAGTGAGGGAGCAAATCATGGCTCCAACTCAAGTTATGTGCTTTCTTATGCCACAAACTAATGCAGTTTCTTTGACAATTCTCAGTATTACCGTATTTCAGTCTGACTCATAGCACTAATTAGAAAACATTGTGAATAATCTGATATCAGGATTCCTAAATGTGGATTGTTGCTCATATTTAGAAATGTGATTAATATGTCTGATTTTAGGTAATGTTTTCTTCAAATAAATTTAATTAAAACATTGTAAAATAGAGGACTTTCCTCTTTCCCCATCTAATATGACATCTAATAGATAGGAAACTTAGTATACTATTTTTTATTGCAAAGGAAAGATCCTAATGTGCTGATCTCAATAAGATTTGAAAGAATAACTTGGTTATATATGAAAATATCTATTATTTTAAATAAAATTACCAAGCATATTTGTATAAGATCAAGATTAAGTTAATAAACAAGAAATTTTCATTTCACTATAAATTTTGCCCTGTCGAGTATATTGTAGAGAGTGGGTATAAAGCAAAGTAGACAAGCATGGAAACAAATGACTTGCTGGCCCACTCATATTTACATGAGTAGTGGTTCACAATTAATTCTACTTCTACTAAAGCAAAAATGCGATTTCATCATAGGGCCATCACTGCTTTCCCAAGCATCACCCACAAGTTGACTTTTATCCTGACTTTTTGTACCTTCACTCTCATTCCAACAGCTAATATCATGCCTCCCATGTTCTGTTGATGCAAGCATGCCCATCAGCCTGCTTTCTATATCCATTATACTGCCCCATGAATCCCATCTAAATTCCTACCTTAATGCCATTGTTCAATCTTTGCCCTCATCTGGAATGTAATGCTACCTTTCCAATCATAATTTTCCTACAAAGACTGTGTTATAAGTACCACCTCTCTGATTAAACTCTTTAACTACTCTTGAAATCAATGATGATTCCTTCCTTTAAATTTCTATTATTTCCTTTTACTCTTCATTTGACATTATATTTTAAAAATCATAACACAACAAACTCTGTTGTTTCCTTTAAATTATTTTACATATTAAAGAATTTTTTAACAAAAAAGATAAAACCATGACTCTCAGGCATGGAATAAACACATATTAAAGATCTAATTTAACCTATTAATGAAAAACTGGTAAGATGTTACAACTAATTCAAAGAAGAATAAAACATACAGACACATTTATAGATCAACAGTTTTAAAATGAATAGACAAATGGGGGCAAAACTAACTTCTACAATGGAAAAAGAAATTGAAATGCAATCTTTATAAGTCATAATTTTCATGTTTGTAGATAATAATTATTTCTATTTTATCAGTTATTTATAATTGCCACAGTTGTAATATAGCTGTTGTTGAATCTGAATCAGATAAGTCAGAAAGTTGTACTCTTTACAATATATCATTTTCCACTGAAACACATTTTTTTTCACATATCCTTTAGAATTTGGACTCTAGTTTCAAGATGTGACTATTTAAAAACAGTTTTATAATCTTTCCTTTAGATTGCTTAAGAATTCAAAGAAAAATTTTTAGAGTACCATTGATAATGACATACTTACGTCATTTGAGGGTTTACATGGTAATTGCAAAAAGTAAAGAAGTACAATGCCATGGTTTTTGAAAAATGTGCATAATCAAGCTCAAAATGCCACTGTGTCTCATTATAAAGTAATGAATTAGGGTGTTTTGGGTCACCTATGCATTTGTTTAATAGGAAGTTTCAAATGAAGACTATAAAAATATTTCAATATGTTTATTGAAATTTATTGCTCTGGAGTGATTTGGAGATTTAGCTCCTGGGAAACATTTTCCTACATGCCAGGGTGATAAATCTGGAGATCTTAACCTCACCTCACTGGAGAGGAATTTTTGGCATTCTAGAGTAAAGATGAGGTATCTCACTCCCTCTAGAGATGAGAAAAAGCGTATGTTCTAGTTGTCCCTTATAAGCTCTGAGTCTCATCATGTTAGAGATCCTCTTCTGTGATACAAACTCACTGCATATACTCGTAACATCTGGTTCTCACTATGTAGTCTGTGAAAATTGGACTCAGGAAGCCAGCAATAAGATACTTATTTTGCTACTGCTGTTCTGGCCATAATAATCTATTTTCCTGACACAGGGGTCTTTGTGACTTTATATGCTTATGTAGGGTGTGTGTGTGTGTGTGTGTGTGTGTGCGCGTGTGTCTGTGTGGGTGTGATGGAGGCAATGGAACTCAGACTGTGAACTTCTAGAATCACTGCCTCTGTTCTAAAAGCCCAACCAGTGACAAGATCCAGAATCATCATCCTGATAGATACTTTAGACACAGTAAACATCTACCACTGAGTGGCACCACATCGTAGGTACAACCACAGCAGATTTGGAGAGTGTGGTCAAGACCCTGGGCTACCTTACAGATTGCTACTCGGGCTACCAACATTGGTGGTAGTTTATTAAGCTCACAATAACAGAACCTCCATTGTAAGTGACTAAATTTTGTATGCATCTTATTACGGTATTTTATAGTTTCACTGTCTATGCAAAATAATAACATAAAGAAACAGAATGTGCTTCAAGGTAAGGGCTCACAGGAAAGTCACTCTAGAGTGGCAATATATATTGGAGTTATTTTGTATGTCCCAGAACTTAACTTTCTACTTTGAAGCTCTCTTTCTAATGACTCAATCAGTGAATTTTCTGAAAGAAAAAAAAATGTGATTTGAAAGGAATGAAGGAGAGCTGCTTGCTTACCCAGTTGGGTCTAGGAACCAGATTAGAAAAAGAAAGCAAACAAAGCAGGTCAAAAATACTATTGTGTCTCCTGCTTCTACTTTAGGATAGAAAGAAAAAGTAAAACGGTTAGTGAATCCTGGTCATGGCATATGATCATAATAGTAAATATTCATAAAGTCTTAATATTAACCAGGCACAGTACTAAACATATTTTACCTGTTAACTAATTTAATCATATCAATGGCCCAATGATATAAATACTATTATTATTCCATATGTTTCAGATGAAGAAACTGAGGTACAGAGACAGAAAGTGTCTTGCCCAAGTTTACACAGCTAGTAAGTAGTAAAATAAAAATTTAATCTCCAGCAATCTATCTTTAATATACATGCTATTGGCTGGGTGTGGTGGCTCACGCCTGTAATCCCAGCACTTTGGGAGACCATGGTTGTTGGATTACTTGAGGTCAGGAGTTCGAGACTAGCCTGGCCAACATGGTTAAACCCTGTCTCTACTAAAAATACAAAAATTAGCCAGGTGTGGTGGCGTGTGCCTATAATCCCAGCTACTCAAGAAGCTGAGGAAGGCGAATCGCTTGAAATCAAGAGGCAGAGGTTGCAGTGAGCCGAGATCGCACCACTGCACTCCAGCCTGGGCAACAGAGTGAGTGTAACTCCATCTCAAAAAAAAAAAAAAAAAATATATATATATATATATATATATATACATATATATATATATATGCTCTTAATCATGTCATCTATGATATACAGCTTTGAGTTGTTGTTTTATACTTCAGTTTTGAAGTGGGCAGGCTTTCTGTTCCAAGGAGTTGTTCAAACAATGCAATAATGTCTCCATCTTGAGAGCACATCTCAGGAGTCATTCAATAAGAATACTTATGTAACATATGGCTACTGCTATGCTTTGAATCTTTGTACCCCATGAAGCTCATGTTGAAACTTAATCATCAAGAGAACAGCATTAAAAAGTGGGGACTTTAAAAGGTGATTGAGTCATGAAGTTCCCACCCTTATGAATAGATTAATCTGTTCATGGATTAATGGTTGTTATGGGAATGGGTCAGTTATCATAAGAGTGGATCTGTTATTAAAGCCAGTTTAGTGTCTTTCTTGTCCTGTGATGCCTTTCACTGTGTTATAACACAGCACAAGACACTCACTAGAAGGCAATGAGATGTGGTCCCTCAACCTTGGACTTCCTGGTCTTCAGAATTATAAGAAATAAATGTATTTTCTTTATAAATTACCCAGTCTCAGGTATTCTGTTACAGCAACAAGAATAAGACGGAGACAGCTAATAGCCCTCTTTTCAGAGAAAACATTTATCAACACTCCCTACATTTCTGGAATAACATTTTAAAACTAAGCATATGCAGTGGTATTTTGCACATTTCTCCTTTTCTTTCTTTGAGCAGAATTCTTCAGCCCACCTGGGATTTACCTTAACTATTTTTAAGTTGCCATTTTGTGTTCTACAAAACTTACGAAAATATAAATATAAATATGGACCCTGTTTCTCACTGTTTTTTTTTTTTTATCTTGGCTCACTGCAACCTCCGCTTCCTGAGTTCAAGCGATTCTCCTGTCTCAGCCTCCTGAGTAGCTGGGATTACAGGTGCCCGCGACCATGCCCAGCTAATATTTGTGTATTTAGTAGACACGGTGTTTCACCGTGTTGGGCAGGCTGGTCTCGAACTCCTGACCTCAGGTGATCCACCCACCTTGGCCTCCCCAAAGTGCTTGGAGTACAGACGTGAGCCACTGTTCCTGGCTCTCAGTGTCTTTTAATCATTGCAGGAGATATAAACATAAATGCAACACACATACTAAACTACATGTAACTAAATGCTATGACTGGGCTCTAAAATATCAAGTATTAGTAAAGAAAAATAGATTTTTTAAAAGTATGAACTGTGCAATAAAGAAATTGGGATAATTCAGGTTGGTGTCATCAGATCAAAGTCTTTGATAGTAAAAATTAAAAAAAACCCCACAGAGTTGGAAATTTTCCCACACGTTCCTGGAAGACTTGTAGAATTTAGCTACTTCCCAAAACAAATTCACCCAAGAGAGAATACTCTTTCATGATTCCACAAGTTTATTGCGTTTCCTTCTGAAAGCTAGAGCAAGTACATCAGTCTGCTCAGATGCAAGATAAAAAAGGGCACTTCATGTAATTCCTCAAGCGTAACATTAATATAACGCTACTAATTTGTTTAGTTTGACCAATAAAAAGGATGAATTGTATGTCTTTCATCAAAAAAATATGGAAGTCTCACATTTTGCTAATGAGGATGTAAATTAGCACATCCTTTCTGGAAAGAAACCTAGTAAAATATCAAGTGCCTTAAAAAAAAGAATTCTCCCACCAATTTCTTTCTAGAAACCTATTTTTAAGTAAATAATCATATAAATAAAAATATTTATGCTCATTACTGTTCACACAATGTTATTTTTAATAGCACAGGAAATGAAATGACATAGTCGACTGGTCATATAAATTAGAATACATTTGTACAACAAAATAATATGCAGCAATTAAAATGAACTTTTGAAAAACTGTGAGGTAGAAAATGTTTCTGATATGACATTCAATAAAACCACCATGATTGAAAGTATATATACAATATGATCTTAACTTTGTAAATATATGTGTACCAAAATGACTAGAAGGAAACATAACACAATATTAACAACGGCTATCTCTCTTTGGAGTGCAATGGCAGTCAATATCTTTCTTCTTTTTATCTTTTTTAATAAAATGAACATATCTCAGCCTTAAAATTAGAAACCAAGCTTTTTTTTTTTTAACTTTATAAAAAGTAATGGTAATGCTGGACTGATTAAGGCTGAAGCTGACTAAAGGAAGTGAGAAAGGATAAAGCAAAAAGAAGGGAGCATGCCTGTGGCTTTAAGATTAGGGGGAATAAAAAAGGAGAAAGGGTAAGTACCATGAAAGTGAAATTAAATGAACTGAGACAGACTCACTGAGTGATAAATTACAAGTAAAGTAGCATCTTATTTCATGCATGCCAAATTTTACTCTTTATAGTGAGTGCCGGTAAGGATTCAATTTTCCAGCTATTGTTCCAGCATTTTTTATACCAACTATCACGTTCTCTTTCATAACTTTATTCATTTTTTTCCTCCATTGAACTATAATAATGCCTTCTTCCACAAACATATTACCTCAGAGTATGCAATTTTGAGCTGTTACTTTGGAAATTTAAAATACAGTTAATTAAGTTCCATAATACAAATTTTTGGCAAGAAACATATTTATCTTCTTATTTTTCTAGTTGGGCTAAATACATTTTGGCTCAATTGAAATCCTGAAGAGTCTCCATGACTCTCTTTGAAGCTGTGGAAATGTGTGTAAATTCATCATATGTTAGAATTCATTCCCAAATTCATAAACCTGTTGTGTAATTGACTTATAGTAACCTGCAAAACACCCTGTGGATGAATGACAACATAGGAGATTGGACAAAATGCCAGGATAGCGTTCTTATTTTTTATTTTATTATTTTTATTTTATGTATGTATATTTTCATTTTTGAGATAGTCTGGCACTGTCACCCAGGCCGATCTCGGCTCACTGCATCCTCTGCCTCCCGGGTTCAAGCTATTTTCCTGTCGTAGCCTCCGGAGTAGTTGGGATTACAGGCAAGCGCCACTACACCCGGCTAATTTTTGTATTTTTAGTAGAGATGGAGTTTTGCCATGTTGGCCAAGCTGGTTTGGAACTCCTGGCCTCAAGTGATCCGCCCTCCTCGGCCTCCCAAAGGATTGGGATTACAGGCGTGAGCTACTGCACCCAGCCAGAATATCATTTTTAAATCAAAGAAAAGAGAGTGATTTGTGATAAAACGAATCATTGTTTTTCTCTAGCAAAGATCAAACAGTCCATTTTTCTTCTTCAGATACTTTAATTTGATATAATACCTAAGTGATTTAAGAAATTCATCAATGTACTGTGCATTTATTACAGCTATAAAGGTAGATTTAGAAAGAAGAAATAAAAAATTCATTATACGTTTATTCAAACCCTGGAAATACACAGGCTTTAACTTCTAGTTATTTGGAAAAAGATAATTCAAACAAATATTTGATATCAATTTAACTTCACAAACCTTGAAGAAGCATTTTATAAAGTTGTACAAACTTTTCTGGTAAATGTTCAGTATACTTCTGAATATATATGCTTTATGTGCACATATATTTTTATTTCAATAACTATGCCCTTCCAGAGAAATTTATTCATAATATGTAATTGTACTATTTAAAAGTGTATATTGCATAGATCTGAAGAACATTGTTAGGATGGTGAAAATAATTCACAATGTGTATGGCTGTGACCCAAGTCAAAACATTAAATTTCCACATATCTTGCCAATTAAAATGTGTGGAAATTGGCCGGGCATGGTGGCTCACGCCTGTAATCCCAGCCCTTTGGGATAATCCCAGCACTTTGGGAGGCCAAGGTGGGCAGATCACAAGGTCAGGAGATGGAGACCAGCCTGGGCAGCTTAGTGAAACCCTGTCTCCACTAAAAATACAAAAAATTAGCCGGGCATGGTGGTGGGCGCCTATAATCCCAGCTACGCGGGAGGCTGAGGCAGGAGAATCGCTTGAACCTGGGAGGTGGAGGTTGCAGTGAGCCGAGATTGTGCCACTGCACTCCAGCTCGGGTGACAATGCAAGACTCCTTCTCAAAAAAAAAAAAAAAAAAAAAGTGTGGAAATTGATTTAAAATAGTAAAAAGAATAATCAAGTGATATCTTCCAGCCTTAAGGTTTGAAGTTATTGAACTTGTAATAAAATAATTATTTTTGAAAATTGATTTTTCAAATTTCTAAGGCTTAATTTAACCTAAAATCATAATCTGATTCTACCCCTTTTTTTATGTTACACTTATACAGAGGATCTAGTATTTCCAATCATCCTTCATTTTACTTTTCTTATGGGATCTTAAAAATGATTTCTAACCCATCCTTTCATGGGAAATGAGATGATTCTTCACACATTGTTGCTACTCATCAAGTCAGCATATCAAATGTCTTAGCTCAGAGTGCTATAACGAAATATCATAAACTGAATGGCTTAAACAACAAATATTTATTTCTCACAGTTCTTCTTGTATCCTCACGTAGCAGAAAGAGAGCCAGCTAGCTCTCTAGCTTCTTCTTATAAAGGCACTACTGCCATTCATGCCTCATGACTTAATTACATCTCCAAGGCCCCACCTCAAACTACCATCGCATGGTGATTAAAGTTTTGACATATGAATTTGTGCAGGACACAAACATACAATTCATTTCACCAAGTAATGACTGTAAATCCTGCTTGGAAACATTGCACTGTAAAAACACAGTATTATATTTGCTTTACTTAATAAACATCTGGTCATGTTTTTATTTATTTACAGATCTTTAGTTCATTACAGCTTTTTCATTTTTATTCCCTTAAAGAAAATAAATTTTTAAAAAAATTTTGTCTTTTTATTTCAAATCAGTAAGACAAGTAAAATTATAAAAATTCCATTATTTTTAAGACCAAACACTTTACACTTATTTTCTTTTTAGTATTCCATAGTTGGTAATTAAGCTTGATTAAGATTCTTTCCACACTCCAGGAATGTGTCACTCTTGGCTTTTTTATTTAGAAGACAGTAAACCTAGTTTTTTTTTGTTTTGTTTTGTTTTTTTAACCAGTAATGTATGACTAGATTAGTGGCAAGGCAATTAATTTAGGTAATACATGTCCAAATCTTATTGGATGAATGCTTAGGTATAAATCTAATTCCTTCTATCATATACCGATAGGAAGGAAATTATAAAATATTACATTGTTATTATTTAATTACTCTTTTCATTAGACAACTATTTGACACCCCAATATCAATTACATTCAGCACAGGCAATGTCAATTTTATAATTCATATAAAATGATTTATGTGATCAATGGAATGATGAGGTAAACAAAAGAATGGATACAAAAGAAAGGATCTGTAGTGTATGCCTTATACTTGATACTGGAAATGCTAAATTGTAATGGTTGTTCTGGACTGGCTCAAAGCAGCTTAACGCCAGGTCAGAAGATGAATAATGAAGTATCTGATTGGTTTGGGTCAACCTGAGGTGATTGGGACTCCAAATAACCCAGACCTGTAGGTCCATTTTGATGGCTACATAAATCTCCAAATCATTCCATAATTTTTTGAAATACAAATTATCTACTGGTGGGAATAAATTAACCTAGGTTTAGAGCCCCACAGATAGGCCAGAATGATTGTTAGAAGTCAAAGAATAAAGGAAATCTGTCAAGTAACTTATTCGTTAGGCTTCTCTTATTCAGTGTTAGTCTTTTTCAAGATTATATACTAACACAGAAAAACACCAAGAAGATACAAGTGACAGCTTCTTAATTAGTGGACGTTTAGTTTTTGCTTTGCACGTGTGAATGAGAGGTGATCATGTAATTTTTAAAGACAAATAAACAACAACAAAAAACCCTTTTGAATTTAAAGGCAAATGGTGGTAAAAAATATCAGAGCACTATATATTTAGGCTAAAGATGAATAAAAACCATCAAAGTACTGTATGTCTATGTAATTTGCTTTTTAACAATTGTAAAGGCAGGGAGAATTATGGTAAAAATACTTGTCTAAATTATGAAAAAAAATATGTCAGATTAAAGGGAATGAAGGCAAAATCTTATTAGTTCAATATATGCTATTTGAAAATATTTAATGCCAAAGTCCTTCAACTTTTCTCTATTATCACTTGATGAGCAGGCTAAGCTTGCATTTTAAAGAGAATTGTATTGATAAATGTATGAACTTATTTTAACATTGGTTTCAACATCAGCTAATCAAAACATTTAGAGGTGAGATGTAATTTCTAAAATATACTGTATGAAATAATTTATGCTGATGCTAGCAATTACATGGATGATCTGTAATCAAGAGTCTAGAGCAATTTAGGAAGAAATAATGAAGCAGAGTAGAAGCTTATGTGACCTATACATTAGTCACCACTTCTATTTCCTTACAATTACATCTTCATCCAACCCTAAAAAGAATTCACAAAAGAATAGTTAGCATTTCCTCTCTTGTCAAATAATTCCGTAGTTATGTATAACTGGTCTTGAGAAGCTTTTCAAGGCAATACTCCAGTTTATCTCTTTCAAGACTATGGAAGATATGCAAGGTTATAACCAGGTATATTTTCATACAGGCACTTAACACCTACTTTATATATTTGTTATCCAATTTTATTTCCCTGGCTCCAGTTTCTTTATGGCCACAGTGAAGTCTTCATAAAAATGAACATTTTTATCAAATAACATTGTCCTAAACATCTGAGTTTCCAAAATGGGAAAAGGAGGTAAGGTAAATGGAAATTATATTTAAAATGTTACAAGACAGATATGTAGGCATGAACACCATTTGCATTCTAAAATGGTTTAGACTAATACTTCTCAAAGTTTAATGTTGAATTGTTTATAACACAAAGGATAAATGCTTGAGGGGATGGAGACCCCATTCTCCATAATGTGATTATCTGACATTGCATGCCTATATCAAAACATCTCATGTATCCCATAAATATATACATTTACTGTGTACTCACAAAAATTAAAGGTACAAAAAATTAAAAAGCTTACTGTGCATACGGAACATTTAGGTACCTTGTTACAATGCACAATCTGATATATTTATATTTATATGAGCTTTGTAATCAGACAGATTTGTGTTCTAATCATGGCTCTGCCACTTATTACCTATAAGTGACAATAACATCTCTGAGCTTTAGATTCCACATTTTTAAATAAAAATAATAATATTAACCTCATAGAGTCATTATGAGGTTAAAATAACAATGAATTTATGTAAATTGTCTAGCAGGGTGTCTGATATATATGAGGGGTCCAATGGTGTGCGGTAAATATTTAATATCCAGCTTTCTGAAAAAGAGAAAAGCTTTAATTTGTAGAGTTTGTCAATTTCCGAAGTGTAACTATTTCCATTGTGTAAAGATGCCCACTATGGACAATTTCAGGTTATCTATGTGATGTCACTGAACACAGAGTTGGGAAGATATGTTTATAATTAGCTCTCATAAGCTTGTGTCAGCTAGCTCCAGCACACCACTGGAAGGTCACAATAAATGGCTATCTAACATTCTAATTGTTAAAAGTGTCAGGTTAATGTTGAAAATGTGATCAAGAGCATTACATTATTTGTCTGTATTCAGAACAATGGTTGCATTCTATCACAAGTTTTACAATAATTATGGCAATGTTGTAATCTGGAATTTAAATAGAGGTATGCATATCTAAATCAAGGTTTCTTCTTTTGTCACAAGAAACAATACTGATTCATCAAGGATTTGATAGAGCAACAAAGTAGAACTCATTATAAAATATAGTTTCATAGTAGACAATTTGGGTTTATATTTAATAGGTTTTCATTTGAAATTTAATATCAGAAATGTATATGATCAATTTATAGTATTAATTGCATTTATGTCATTTATATTTTTATATTATTTAAATGTGTTTATGGCAGAGCTCATTATTTGCCATCAGAATATTTCTCTTGCTGTTTCCATCTTCTTCAAATAAAATATTGTTAGAAATAATATGACCTTCATCCCAAACCTTTCATAACTAAATTGCAAATTTTATGTGTTTTACTGATGCTTAGAGATGAATTTCTGACTCATGAAAAATTTGTTCAACTCAAAACCTTGATGGACTTAAAAATGCCAATTCTACAGATAAAAGGGGTATTTTCTTTATTTCTATAATTGCCCTGACATGTTTTTCAGAGTATAATATCTTATGGAGGATTTTTAGTTATATATCCTAGACAGGAAATATTAGGTGTGCGATCAAAGAAGAATTAGGAAATCTGTATGCATGATAATCTATGCGGTGGTTTTATCCGGGTTCTAGGACAGGAATCTATGTCTGAATATGTGTACTCCCCAATGGAACCATGCTTAATAATCCTGCAATGATGCAAAGGCTATTTTAAAGAGACCCTGGATGTACACTATGTGTTTGATCATTATGCTAAAATTCTCTCATTCCCATTGTTGCCATTTTCAGTAATATATGTTGAGCCAGGTTGCACGAAATATGTATGTACATTATTAACATACACTGCAAATAACATGGTCATATACCATGCAACCTTTGACTCACAGAGAAAAATCACAAAATAACAATTTTTTATTCTTAATCATGAATTTGAAAATGTCTGAGTAATTCTTAACTCTGTATACAAAACATTTGTGTAGTGTCAAAAAAAAAAAAAAAAACAGATATAGAGACACTAACCTTGAAAATTCTTATTCAGAAGGTCTGAATTGGAGCCTGAACAACTTTACGTATAAAAAAAGCTCTAGTGTAGGTGGAATTGAGAACCATGGTATTGAGCAGTAAGTTACATCCATAAGGCAAGAAGTACATTGTTTATTTTCTAGAGTCTTGCTACTCAAAGTGAGATCTTTAAACTGGCAGTATCAGCATCACCTGGAAGATTGTTACGAATGCAGACTCCATGCCACATCCCAGACCTGCTGAATGAAAATGCATTTTAACAAGACTTCAGGTGATTCATATGCACATTAAAATTTGAGAAACACTGGGCAAGTGAAAAGATTTAGGTATATGAATATAAGAAATGATGTGAATCTGTCGTTTGTGGTTAACTGTAATAAAGCAAATACCACACTGTATAAGCATAATTTATCTTCCCTGAATATATAGATCTCTAAATGGTTGCAGAATAGCCTCTTTGTCTCTCTCTCTCTCTTTTTTTTTTTTTTTTTTGAGACGGAGTTTCGCTTTTTGTTGCCCAGGCTAGAGTGCAGTGCTGTGATCTCAGTTCACTGCAACCTCTGCCTCCTGCATTCAAGCAATTCTCCTATCTCAGCCTCCCAAGTAGCTGGTATTACAGGTGCCTGCCACCATGCCTGGCTAATTTTTGTATTTTTAGTAGAAATGGGGTTTCACTATGTTGCCCAGCCTGGTCTTGAACTCCCGCCCTCAGGTAATCCACCCGCCTCGGCCTCCCAAAGTGCTGGGGTTACAGGCATGAGCTGCCACACCCGGCCTTTATTCGTCTCTTGAATGAACTTGAATTGTTTCCTCACTTTTCTGTCAGAGCTCTTTAACATGCATTGTGTTATCATTTTACCGCATTCGCTTTGAGTTCACAGCTGAAAAACTTTGTGCTATGTGCAGGCAGACGTGCATTCAAGAGTTAGTTTCATTTTTAAGTTAATACAGAGAAAGTTCTCCATCTTCTAAGACTCCATAGGCCATATCAATGGGCTTTGGAGAACTGGAGCAGAATCAGCCAATCATGCCTTTCTCGGATGATGTGATATGACAAAATTCACTCTTTGCTATCATTTCCGTTGTTTGCAAAGCAGACAGAAGTCATTTCATGTGGAAAATTATATATGTTAAAATTGAAATAATTGGTCTGATACTGCCAAATTCTATACGTGATCTGTTAACAGTAAAAAGATTTGTTGGCAATATTAAATAACATTTCTTGTGATATATATTTCTTGGGCTTTATCTCATATCTATGTTTAAAATTGGCTTTTCATATGTTCTGCATTTCTTTAGTGTAGGGGTAATATATCAAAACACATGATTAAATGTAAGCAAAGGAGGATGATAAATTCATCAAATAAGCTATTACTATAAATATTAACTTTTTCCTGTGTATTATACAGATAGAATTGTAACTTTCAAATATTTTGTATGAATACCGATGTACAGTTTGTAAAGCTGTATTGACATTACTTGGAAAAAACAGATTAAGCTTTAAGTTTAAATGGTGTAAGCAAATAAAATTGTAATTTAAATTTAAAGAACAGTTGTGCTACTCATAGGGAAATGAAGAGCGCTAATTTGCATTTTAGTAATCAGTAATAGGGGTTATGGGGTGTCAGTTATATTCCACATATGACCTTTTTCAGTTTCTAGGCAATGTACCTCAATTAATTTTCTGTGACATCATAAAAAACCCTTTTTACTGCAGCATGGCTATGAAAAGCAATAAAATTCTTTCTATGCAGCTGAACTATAAAATGCACAACTGACCTCAGCACTTAGCAGCAGCTCAATGTGTTAATGCATATTTTCTATTGGCATAAATTAGAGTGTGGTCAAAAATCAGACTAGCTCAACTAATGCTTGCTTTCTTACAGGACATGCTGAGTCTTTTGAAGTCATAGAAATGGTCATGCTTTTAAATTGGTATTTCATTACCAGCTGTCTAAATATATACTGAAAACTAATTAGGAAATTTAGTATTATCATAATGAGCCAAATTGGAAGTTACTATTAGTGAAACAACCTTCAATTCTGATTGAAGGCTTTTCTACTTCTCCCTGGGCTTGCCAGAAACCAGGAAGAAAACCTAGAAATTCCTGTTATTAAATTACTAGAAATTACTAGGTTACTAAACCGGTAAATTACTACATCATTCATTTACTGATTATCTGTTATGTGAAAATCAATGTGTATATGCTTGTAGATAACAGATAACAACAAGAGTTAAATAAGACATTGTTCTTATCCTCAAGAGTTTACAGAACAAAAGAAGGAATTTACAATTACTGTACAATTCTAACCAACCCTACTCTAGAAATAAATAGCAATTCTGAAACAAGCAGATTAAGAGTGGAGGGCAGACTTATGCATATACTGGAATTGGGTATGGGAAGAACTGATGAGAAAGTAGAATGTCTTAAGATTTACTTCTTGCGAGAGAAAGGGACAAAGATAATAATATAGGACTTAAATGAAAACACTGACAATCCAGGAGGATCCTAGTCTGTCATGTATTGCTTCAGGAACTCGACTGTATTTGAAGTTCAAATGTATTAACACCATTTCAGTGGCAGCAGTGTACACAATTCATTCTTCCATCTATCATCCACCTTAAGACTTATACAACTTTATAACGTAGCAAAAGACAGAACTTGATTTCCATTCCTTGTAATTTTATTTGTATTTCATGCAGTAAAATTGGACCAGTGATTGTGTTTGACCTGGCCTATTTATTGTGTTGAAACTGAATTATTACTACCTTGAATAAACCACTTATTACCACCCTGAATAAATAATCTTCCCATTACGAGAGACTCTGAGACCTAGAAGTATTCTTTTCAGCTTATTCATAACTCAGAATTCTATTTTGATATTACCAAGAAAATACATGTGCATGTGTATACACACACACACACACACACACACACACACACAAAGGGAAGAAAAGTTTTTATTCAGTTCACATTAATAGATTTTTTTTAAGATTGCTTTGAAAATACTCTAGTTTCTCGAGTTATCAAAAACATAATAATAATTGGGTTATTAAGAAATATCTTCACAATATTTTATTATATAATACAAAGTACCAAAAGGCACAAGTGAGAAAATAAAAATCACCTTAGTTATACCGGAGATAACCACTATTATATTTATGTATGATTTTTTTCCCTCGTATATGTGTATTAGGGTAATACTGTATACATGGTTTTATATTCTGCCTTTTGTGTCTCATTTTATATCCTTAAAATCAGTTTAAAATAAAATTTACTAAGCTTTTGGAGGCCCTTAAAAAGGGATGTCATTATCTTGTCTTTTATATTATTGAGACTTAAAAATATGCCTTTAAAATATGATCCTAAGTCAGTTGTAATTTTAAGTTATGGCATTACCAAATATATTATGCAAGGAAATAGTGCATTCATTCATTATTATACATTAGCCTATGGAAAATTTTTTTTTCAGACTTTCTACATAAGCTTTGAAACTACAAAATGGAAATATAGTTTTGTAACCTTGTATGCATGCATTAAAATGTACCGGAATTCATTGGCAAGATAGCAGAATAAGAAGTCACAGCATGAATTCCTGTATAAAAACACTGACTTGGCAAATATACATGTATCAACATGCCTTATTGAGAATTGTAGAATTCAATGAAGAAGTTGCAGTGCCCGAGAAAAGTACAAAACTGAGAGCACTGTATTAAAATGGGTAAGAAAAGCAGTTTTATTTTACTCACATTATCCCTTCTGCAGGCCATCACAGCTCCATGCCTAGAGAGGTTCCCTCAGCCTGTGGTTTCTCCCCCAGGGAAAAGAGAGAGCTAAGTATGATCACAACTTCCTCAGCTTTCCTGGGCACTTCCCAGAGACCAAATCTTGGGAAGTGCCCAGAACACTTGAACACTCTGTCTTACCTCATTCAGAGTGTTGGGAAAACCTGCATAGTTGGAATGCCTGAAAGTAGCTAAGAGCAAAGAAAAGGGGAGGTGTAGGGGGGATCTTAGCAGCTGACACATGGTCCTCAGCAACTGGCATGCATATGTTGGCACACAAATCTCACATATGTGCAGATCTCAGCAGCTGGTGCAGGTCTCAACACTCGGCATGGCGCTCAGCAGCCTATATGGCTCTTAGCAGCTGGCTTGGCTCTGCGGATTGAAAGAAGGTGGACAATCCTGAGATTTCTCCTACAGGAGAGAGGGAGAGAAGTGAAGTTTACGCTCAATGCTCCAGCATCTCAGTGCACTCCCTTGGGAAAAAGGCGCAGGCAGATCTCAGCACCTAGTATGGCTATGTGGGATTGGTGGAAGGCATACAATCCTTAGACTAATTTTCCAGAAAGTAGGGAGAAGAGTGGAGTGGACACATCAAAATAAAAGGATAGTTAGAATACCAGAATCTCTAGCAGGGTCAGTTGGTGAAGATCTTATGCTGGCAAAATCAGTCCATAACACTGAAAGAGGTGGCTGTTTCATGAAATGTTCAGACATCAACACAAAACTACAAGAAATATAAAGAATAAGAAATATATATTACCAAAGGAACAAAATAAATCTTTAGTAACCAAGCCTAAACAAAAGGAGATCTATAAAAACCTTGGCAAATAATTCAAAATAATCATATTTGAAAAGACCAGTGTGGTATAAGAGAACACAAATAGAATGCTAAAACAGAAAAATGATTCATGAACACAATAAAAATATCAACAAAAATATGAAAACCATATAAAAGAGACAAAAAATCTGCAGCTGAAAAATACAATAACTGAATTGAAAAATCCCAAAGAGAGTTTCAAGAGCAGACTTGATCAAACAGAAGAATCAGCAAACTCTAAAACAAGTCATTTGAAATTATCCAGAGAAGCAACAAGAAAAGTGAATGAAAAATGTGAAGAAATTTTGTAGGATTTATTGGACACCATCAACCAAATCAATGGATCCATTATGGAAGTCTCAGAAAGAGAAGAGAGAGAAAAAGGCAAGAAGCTTACTTAAAAAATAATGGCTGAAAAATTACTAAATGTGAGGAGGCAAATGGACATCCAGATTAATAAAGCCAAAAGATTTCTAAACAATATATCCACAGAAGTCTACACCTAGTCAAAATTGCCACAAGTCAAAGATAAGAAGAGAATTTTGAAACCAACAAGAGGAAAGCACTTTGTCACAGACAAAGGAACCCTCATAAAACAAACAGCAAATTTTTCAGCAGAAATGTGTCAGGTCAGAGGGAGTGGAATGGTATATTCAGAATGTAGAAAGAAAAACACTGCCAACAAAGAGGACTATACCTGACAAAACTGTTCTTTAAGAATGAAGGAGAGTTAAAGATTTATCCAGGCAAACAAAAGCTAAGGAAGTTTATCATCACTAGACGTGCCTTACAAGAAATGGCAAAGGGAGTTCTGCAAGTTGAAACAAAATGATGCTAAAAAGCAACACAAAAGCATATGAAAGTATAACACTCACCATACAAATGTAAATATATAGACAAATATATAATAGTGTAATTAGGTAATGATGGTGTGTAAATCACACTTAATTTAGTATAAAAGTTAAGTAACAAAGTATTAAGAATGGCTATAAAAACAAAAATTTGTTAACGAATATACACTATAAAAAGATGTAATCTGTGACATCAATAACACAAAGAGTATAGGGGAGAAGTAAAAATGTAGATATGATTAAAGTTAAATTGTTATCAGCTTAAAATTGACCTTTATATCTATAAAATGTTTTGTGTAAGCTTCATAGTAACCACCAAAATAATACATACAGAAGATGCACAAAAGAAAATAAGGAAGAAAACAAATATTAGAACTACCAAAAAAAATAAACTCAATGAAACACAAATGAAAATGGCAAGAGAGAAAAAGAGGAACAAAAGTATTACAAAATAGATGGAGAACATTTAAAAAAATGGCAATATTAGCACTTCCCTATCAATATTTATTTTTAAACTGAATTGATTATTTCTCTTTGTTGGTAATATCTATTCTATATCATATTATGGTTTCAATTTATATTTCCTTGATGATTAATAATAATGAGCATGCTTTATATACCAAGTAGCCATTTGTATGCCTTAAAAGGAAGAACAAATTAAGCCCAAAGTAGGAGAAAGAAGGAAATATAAAAATTAGAACAGAAATAAATGTACAGAGACTAATGAAATAACAGAAAAGATCAGTAAAACTAGAGTTTGTTTTCTGAAATGATCAACATATTTGACAAATGCTAAGTTATCTATTTACCTGACATAAAAACAGCATACTTCTAGGAAAAAGACATAAGCCACCTTTTTCAGAAGGAGATCCAGTCCCCTTCTATTTTGTAAAGTGACTACTGCCAAGGACTCCATTTTATTTTGTATGATGACAGTACTTTGGGTAATGTCTTCCAAGCTGTCTGAAAGATTCTCGGACAAGCGTTGGTAATAGGATAGGGAAGTTGCAAGGATGCGAGCTCCTGTTCCTAGTCCGTTATTCCTAGTCCTACCAAAAGGGGTATGAGTTGATGGCTCATTTGTGTTGGGTGTTTGCAGTTAAAGAAATAATGAGGGATTGATTTTTGGGAGCTATATTAATCTTGGGGGCTAAATAAACAAGTATACTGGTTCCAGTTCAATTGGCTGGTAAGCATAAGTAGGAACTAGTTGCACACAGGAAAAAGGCTCCTTGTTTTTCAAGACAGAAATTGTTCTGTATGGTGAACATATGGGTCAGCTCTTTGTTTTCGCCTTCCCAAGTGGTTCAGATCCCTGCTAAAGTGGCCAAGAGAAAATATGAACACAACTAATGGGCTTGCCTTGACAGTACTTAGACTATATATCCTTTAAAGTTTTGATATCTAAGGATGGTTTCCATTAAAACTGTACAGGTTTTCTAAATGATGCAGTTTGGGTAAATGCATAGCTTACATGATTGTGTGAGGGGTTAATTTCCAGGGCATAGTTGCATTGATGACTTTTCAAGTCTGATCAAAATGTTGACTTTTCTTAAAACAAAGTGGTGACTAGAATTTTAGTTCAGTGTTTGTTGATATTGGGCCCAAAATGGGTTTCCGTGAGGATGCAACCCCAGAAAGGTTGCTCTGAGAGGAATGGAGAAGGTTTACTGCTCATCTTGCCATTGTAGGTTATTTTTTTCAAGGGCTTAAGATCAGGCTGGGATTGGGATGGTAATGTGTTTGAATAATAATGGAGACAAACAATGCCAACAGTCCTTTACCAGAGCTGGGCTGGTGGTATTTAACAGTCTTTGCATTAAATTTAAAGTTCTTAATAAATACCCAGAATCCATTAATTGCCAGAGGGATAAAGTGAGGCCCCACTGTAAAATTAAGCTAATTCCCAATATGCATGGTCCCAGTATACACAGGCTGTGAGTGACCATTAAGAAACAACAACAAAAAATACTTGTTTTATGTGTTTTTTTTGTTGTTGTTGTTGTTCTATAAAATGGGAACTTCAGGGGGTGGATACCTATGCTGTAAGGAATGCTTGTTATAAAAATGAATTAAAACACTTTGCTTAATTGTTACAAAAGAAGGGATTCCACCTATTTGGAAGAATGCAACTGAATTGTAAAAATATAAAAATTGCTACTATTATCCAGCTTACAGTAACTATGCAACAAAGACACCAAGGAAAGTTAGTAGGCATTTACCTATCTTTTGGCTGTCTTTTAAACAGGTACTTCAGGTCTTCTTCAGGTTCACAGATGTAGTGGCTGATGGGAGCTTCAGATTCCAATGGTCTGCAAGACAGAGAAAATTCTAAGGAGGCCTTAGTACTAGACCTTAAAACCTCTACCTGGGGCATCCACTTTGGATAGGTTGAGGTCTGGAGCTGGATCCCCTGGGACATCCCACTTTGGGGTCTAATCTTAGAGTGTCAGATATCTCTGACCTTAGGTGGGCACTAGGGCCACTTTGTATGTTTTTCCTGCAGAGGTGATAGCCTACTATGAGCTTTCCTTTGCCTCCTAGGTGTAATCCTTGACTTTTAGCATCCCACCGTTTAGATAGGCTGTATCTTCTTGGATTTAATGAAGGTTCCCAAACATTGCAGAGTTAACAGTACCAAGGTTGGTGGGGTATTCCCCATTACGGAAAGGTCCAAGGAGTATATAAAAAACTGGGGTTGAGAATTTCTGTGGGATTCAGGGCAAGAAAATTGATGCCAAAGCAATGACCATGAAGCTATGTGGTCCCTTCAGTGGAGGTCCAAGATGTAGAATGTATTCTAAACCTTGTTGGTCCCAAAGGCCCTTAGCCAGTGAAGTAGATCAAGTAGGAGAAGAGAGGTAACAATGCCTAAGATACATTATCTTTTGCCATTACAGGATAACTTTATAGGATAATTTATCATAAGAAAAGTGGGTTTAACTTTCCTGAGATGTGTGTGAATTTGCCCTGGACGAGCAGCCACTGCCAATTGCATCAACATAGGGATCAGGGACTATAACTGGAAAAGACAGAAAAGAGTCCTTCCCATTTCTGGGCAGGGCAGCTATCCCCATTCACTCCTTGGCCTTCAGGAAACACTGAAGAGTAGACCTAGCCGGGTTGCTTTCAATTACCAAGGAGCTACTAAGAAATGGCCACTGAAAGACTAAGGAGTTTCAAAAAGGAAAAGAACTCAGGTCCCGCACCCGAACCAGGCATTGGTGGTCAGGTGCTTCCACATGGAAACCTTTCAGTTTCATCAGAGAGTAGCACCAGCCAGAAAACTGCAGTCGTGTTCGTGCCTAGGCACTGCCTATCAAGAGTTCCTAGTTAGAAAGGGAAAAAGAGAGAGAGAAAAGGGTTCCCCTGTATGAAGCAGAGAGGAAAAAGGAAAATGAGAAGAGAAGAAAAACAAATCCCAAACTTTGGGCTTACTCCTGGCTGGCTTGCCAAAATATGTTACTAGGGGAGGGTCTTGACTATGAGTCATCCAGGTTCTTGGTGTTTTGAACAAAGAATTGGTGAAAATGCACAAACAAAGCAATGAAAGAATGAAGCAATGAAAGCATAGATTTACTGAAACAAAAGTACACTCCACAGAGTGGAAGCCGGCTTGAGCAAGTGGCTAGAGAGGGCTGGTTACAGAATTTTCTGGGGTTTAAATACCCTCTAGAGGTTTCCCATTGGTTACTTGGCTACATGCTATGTAAATGAAGACTTGACCTGTAACCAGTCTGATTGGTTGCAGGAGACAACCAATCGGAGGCTGAAGTGAAATTACAAAGTTACACATGGGGACATGGCACATGACCAGACTCAGTAGAAAAGGGGGTGGGGGTGCAAAGGGAGTAGCCTCTGATCCTTTTGTCACTTGGGGGGAGATGTAGGGTTTTCCTTTTGATTCAGTTCTAGGAAGTCAGCATGAATCAGTCTTAAGTTCTCTGCCTTCAGACCCGATTCTCCTGCCTCAACTTTGTCCTTTAACTGCCTACTTTGTCTTTGTTTGCATGAGAGAGACATAAACTATCTCATTTAAGCTGCCATTGCTTCTGAATAAGAAGGTTGATGGCCAAGGACCCATGTTGCCTATTCTACCATTTTCACTAGCCAAATGGATGTCTTAAAACTTGCATAAATTTTTCTCCACTAAACTCATTTTCAAATTAAAATTTATGTATATGTATCTGATTGGATAAACAAATTCATATCTCTGCTGTAAGCAGAATAGGAAAATGATAATTTTTAGCTTTTCAGACTCGCAATACAGCAATGCACATTAGAAGGTTAGGATGGCTGATGAGCAAGTCAATTCAGATTATTCAACACTCACATGTTATTTCATTTGTATTATGCAAGCACAAGTATGATTTATTGAAAAAATTGTGCTTGCTTTTGGGACATAATGTATAGTAACAAAGAGACAGAGAGTTAACTCTGGGTTTTGCACCAAAAATAAATAATTTTTTTTATATTTTATTTAATTTTTTTGAAAGTATATTTTATTTTATTTTAATTTTTATTTTAGGTTCAGGGGGTACAAATGCAGGCTTATTACATGGGTAAATTGTGTGGCACTGAGTTTTGCTGTACAAATAATTTCTTCACCAAGGTAGTGAACACAGTGCCTGATAGGTTGTACTTAAAACACTCACATCCTGCTTCGTTCCCTGTTCAAGGAGGCCCTGGTGTCTATTGTTCGCATCTTTGTGTCTATGTGTAGTCAGTGATTAGCTCCCACTTATTTATTGGCATAAATATATATTATATATTTAATATAAATATATTCATGGGTCTTTTTAACTTTTAGTTTAGGTTCAGGGGTACAAATGCAGGTTTGTTACACAGGTAAACTTTCGTAATATGGCTTTGTTGTATAGATTATTTCTTTACCAAGGTAATGAGCCTAGTACTTATTAGTTATTTTTCCTGATCCTCTCCCTCCTCCCGCTCTCCACCCTCTGAATGGCCCCAGTATGTGTTGTTTCTCTCATGTGTTCACGTGTTCTCTTCTTTTAGCACCTCAAAGCAAAAACTGACAAATTGGATTTAATTAAACTAAAGAGCTTTTGCACAGCAAAAGAAACTATCAACAGAGTAAACAGACAACTTGTAGAATAGAAGAAAATTTTTGCAAACTATGCATCTGACAGAGGTCTAACATCCAGCATTTATAAGGAACTTAAACCAATTTACAAGAGAAAAACACACAACCCTATTAAAAAGTGGGCAAAGGACATAACACTTTTCAAAATAAGACACACCTGTGGCCAAAAATCATATATAAAATTAGCTCTCGCTTATAAGTGAGAACATGTGGTATTTGGTTTTCTGTTTCTGCCTTAATTCACTTAGGATAATGGCCTCCAGCTGAATCCATGTTGCTGCAAAGAAAATGATTTTTTTAAGGTTGCAAAGTATTCTATAATGTATATGTACCATATTTTCTTTATCTACCCTACCATTGATGATCATCTAGGTTGATTTAATGACTTGCTATTGTGAATATTGCTGCAGTGAACAAGTGCGTATGTCTTTTTGGTAGAAAGATTTATATTGCTTTAGGTATAGACACAGTAATGAGATCATTGGGTCCAATAGTAACTTCATTTCAAATTTTTTGAGAAACCTCCGAACTGCTTTTGGTGGCTGAACTCATTTACATTTTGAGTAAAATTGTATAAACATTCTCTTTTCTCTGCAACCTCTCCACCATCTGTTATTTTTTGACTTTTTGATAATAGCCATCCTGACTGATGTGAAATGGTATCTCATTGTGGTTTTGATTTGCATTTCTTTAATAATTAGTGATGTTGAGCATTTTCTCATATGCTTGTTGGCCACATGTATGTCTTTTGAGGAGAATGTTCATTTTTTTTGGCCATTTTTCAATGGGGTTGTTCGTTTTGTGCTTGTCGATTTAAGTTCCTTATAGATTCTGGAAATTACACTTTTGTCAGATGCCTAGTTTGGAAATATTTTGCCCATTTTGTAGGTTGTTTGTTTACCCTGTTCATAGTTTATTTTTCTGTACACAAGCTTTTTTTTATGGTTAGGTCCCATGTGTCTATTTTTGCATTGTTGCAATTGCTTTTGGATACTTTGTCATGAAATCTTTGCCAAGTCCTATTCCAGAATGGTATTTCCTAGGTTTTCTTCTAGGGTTTTTATAGTTTTAGGTTTTAGATTTAACTATTTAATCCACGTTGGTTTAATTTTTGTATATGGTAAAAGGAAGGGATAAGTGGAGAATTCCTCTGACTACTCCTGCCATCATGACTCCTAGGTTCTTTTCTAGTCTGTGTGCCATTTCAATTATCTGCATATGGCTAGCTAGTTACCTCAACACCATTTATTGAATGGGGAATTCATTGCTTATTGCTAGTCATTGTTGAAGCTGTTGAAGATCAGATGGTTGTAGGTGAGCGGCTTTATTTATGGGTCTGTAGCCTGTTCCTTTGGTCTATGTGTCTGTTTTCGTACCAATATCATGCTGTTTTGGATACCGTAACCTCCTAATACAGATTGAAGTTGAGTAAAGTGATGTTTCCAGCTCTGTTCTTCTAGCTTAGGATTGTTTTGACTATTCAGACTATTTTTGGTTCCATATGAATTTTAGATTAGTTTGTTCTAATTCTGTGAAAAATGGCATTGGTAGTTTGTTAAGAACAGCACTGAACCCATAAATTGCTTTGGATAGTATAGCTACATTTTTTTTTAATTTTTAATTTTTGTGAGTATGCAAATTAGTATGACCACTGTGTAAAACAGTTTGGAGGTTCTCAAAAAATTAAAAATAGAGCTACCATATCATCCAGCAATCCCACTGCTGGGCATATGCCTAAAACAAAGGAAATCAGTATATCAAAGAGATATCTGCACTCCCACATTTGTTTCAATAATGTTCACAATAGCTGAAATTTGAAAGTAACCAAAGTGTCCATCAACAGACAAAAGGATAAAGCAAATGTGGTACATATACACAATGGAGTACTATTCAGCCATAAAAAGTATAGTCATTTAAAAAATATTGATTCTTTTAATTCATGAGAATGGATTTGCATTTGGGTTGTCTCTTACTTCTTTCAGCAGTGTTATGTAATTCTGATTGTAGAGAGCTTTCACTTACCTAATTAGTTGTGTTTATAGGTATTTTATTCTTTTTTGTGGCTATTGTGAATGTTATTAGTTTCTTGATGTGGCTCTCAGCTTATTATTATTATTATTATTGTTGTACAGAAATGCTACTAGTTTTTGTACATTAACCTTGTATCTTGAAACTTTACTGAAGTTGTTTATCAGTTCTAAGAGCGTTTGGGAAGAGACCATGAGGTTTTATAGGTATAGAATCATATTGTCTGTGAAGAGAGATAGATTGCCTTCCATTCTTCCTATTTGGATGTCTTTTATTTCTTTATTTTTCTGATTTCTTTGGCTAGGATTTCCAGAACTATTGGTAATATGAGTGCTGGGAGTGAGCATCCTTGGCTTGTTCTGGTTCTCCAGGAGGATGGTTCCAGTTTTCAGTCATTCAGTAAGATGTTGGCTGTGGGTTTGTCATAGGTGGCTCATATTATTTGAGGTGTGTTTCTTCAATGCCTAGTTTGTTGAGTGCTATTAATATGGAGGGATATTAAATTTTATTGAAACCCTTTTCTGCATCTATTGAGATTATCATGTGTTATTATGTGCTCATAATAGTCTCTGAGGTATTTTTGTATTTTTGTGGGTCCAGTGGTAACTTCCCCATTTGTCACTTCTGATAGTGTTTATTTGGACATTCTTTTTTTTTCTCCATATCAATTTACCTACTGGCCTATCAATTCTTTTTATTCTTGTGAAGAAACAACTCTTTATTTCATTGATCTCTTTTATACATTCTCCTGTCTCAATTTTATTCAGTTCAGCTCTGATTTTAGTAATTTTCTACTTCTAGCTTTAGGGTTGATTTGTTCTTGTTCTTCTAGTCCTTGCAGGTGTGATTTTACGTTGCTCACTAGCGATCTTTCTAACTTTCTGATGTGGGTATTTAATACTATCAACTTTTCTTTTAACTCTGCTTTATATGTGTCCCAGAGATTCTTGTATGTTTTATATTGTTTTCATTAGTTTAAAAAAATTTCTTGATTTCAGCCTTAATTTTATTGTTCACTCAAAAGTCATTCAGAAACAAGTTGTTTAATTTTTATGTAGTTGTATGGTTTCAAGGTATGTTCTTTGTATTGATTTATATTTTTATTGTGCTGTAGTCTGAGAATGTGGTTGTTATGATTTCAGCTTTTAAAAAAATTGTGGGATATTACTTTATAGCTAAGTATGTAGTCAATCTCAGAGTATGTGCCATGTGCAAATGGGAAGAATTTATATTCTGTTGTTGTGTAGAGTATTCTGTAGATGTTTGTTATGTTCATTTGATCAAGTGTCAAGTTTAGGTCCTGAATATCTTTGTTACTTTTCTGCCTTGATGATCTAATACTGTCAGTGGGATGTTGTAGTCTTCCACTATTATTGTGTGATTATATAAGCTTTTTCATAGGTGCCTAAGAACTTGTTTTATAAATCAGAGTGTTTCAGTGTTGGGTGCATATACATTTAGGAAAGTTAAGTCTCCTTGTTGAATTTAACCCTTTATCATTATGTAATGCCATTCTTTTCTCTTTTTAATAATTGTTGGTTTAAAGTTTATTTTGTCTGAAAGAAGCTAGCATGCCCTGCTCTTTTTTGTTTTCTGTTGCTTGATAGTTCTTTCTTCATCTTTTTACATTGAGCCTATATATGTCATTGCATATGAGAAGGGTCTCTTGAAGATGGCACAGAGTTGATCTTGCTTCTTTATCTACTTTGCCACTCTATGTCTTTTAAGTGGGATGTTTAGCCTGTTTACATTTAAGGTTAATATTTATACGTGTGAATTTGATTTTGCCACTGTATTGTTAGCTGATTGTTATGTAGACTTGATTGTGTAATTGCTTTATACTGTCAATGGGCTATGTACTTAAGTATATTTTTGTGGTGGCAGGTACAGATCTTTTGTTTCTATGTTTAGTACTCCCTTAAGGACCTGTTGCAAGGCACGTCTGGTGGTAATAAATTACCTTGGCATTCATTTGTTTGAAAAGGATTTTATTTCCTCTTTGTTTATGAAGATTCATTTGATTGAATATAAAATTTTTTGATTAAAATTTTATTTCTTTAAACATGCTTCCAATCTCTTCTGGGTCATAAGGTTTTTGTTAAAATATCTGCTCTTAGCCTAATGGGGTTCCCTTTATATGAGACCTGCCTCTTCTTTTTAGCTATCATTAATATTTTTTCTTATGCATTGAACTTGGATAATCTCATGATTTCATGTTTTGGGATGGTCATGTTGTAGAGTATCTCTCAGTTGTTCTGTGAATTTCCTGACTTCAGAGAGACATGTCAGCCTCTCCAGTAAGTTTGAGGAAATTTTTGTGAACAATATTCTTAAATATGTTCCCCAAGTTTCTCACTCTATCTTCCTCTCTTTCATAAATTTCAGTGGTCATAGGTTAGGTCTCTTTATATAGTCCCATAATTTTTCAGAGGTTTTGTACCTTTTTAAATCTTTTTCTTCATTTTTGTCTGCTTGCATTGATTCAAAGGAGCAGTATTTGAGCTCTGAGATTCTTTCCTAACATTTTTCTATTTTTTTTTTTTTTTGAGACAGAGTCTTGCTCTGTCACCCAGGCTAGAGTGCAGTGGCGTGATCTCGGCTCCCTGCAACCTCCGCCTCCTAGGTTCAAGTGATTCTCCTGCCTCAGCCTGCCGGGTAGCTGGGATGACAAGTGCATGCCACCATGCCCAGCTAATTTTTTTGTATTTCAGTAGAGACGGGGTTTCACCATGTTGCCCAGGCTGGTCTCAAACTCCTGAGCTAAGGCAATCCACCTGTCTCGGCCTCCCAAAGTGCTAGGATTACAGGCATGAGCCACTGTGCCTGGCCTCTTTTTCTATTTTTTTTTTTTTTGTGCTTCTGCTTGCATTATGAAATTCTTTTGGTGAATATTTCAGTTACAGAAGTTCAGTTTGGTTGTTTCTTTAAATGCTTATGTCATCTTTCAACTCTTGAATCATTTTACTGCTGTATTATTTCATTGCTATAAAGAACTACCTGAGACTGGATAATGTATGAAGAAATGCGGTTTAATTGACTCACAGTTAAGTAGGCTTAACAGGAAGCATAACTGGGAGGCATCAGGAAAGTTACAGTTATAGTGAAAGGTGAAGGAAAAGCAAAGACATTCTTCACAGGGTGGCAGGAGAGAGATAGAGGGAGAGAGTAAAGGGGGATGTGCCACACACTTTTAAACTATCATACTGGGTGTGGTGGCTCATGCCTGTAATCCCAGCACTTTGGGAGGCCAACTTGGGAGGGTCACTTGAGGCCAGGAATTCAAGACCAGCCTGGCCAACATGGTAAAACCCCATCTCTACTAAAAATACAAAAGTTAGGCCAGGAGCAGTGGCTCACGCCTGTAATCCCAACACTTTGGGAGGCCGAGACAGGTGGATCATGAGGTCAGGAGATCGAGACCATCCTAGTTAACATGGTGAAACCCTGTCTCTACTAAAAATACAAAAAAAAAAAGTTAGCTGGGTGTGGTGGTGGGCACCTGTAGTCCCAGCTACTTGAGAGGCTGAGGCAGGAGAATGGTGTGAACCCAGGAGGCAGAGCTTGCAGTGAGCTGAGATTGTGCCACTGCACTCCAGCCTGGGCTACAGAGTGAGACTCGGTCTCAAAAAAAAAAGTACAGAAGTTAGCTGTGCGTGGTGGCAGTCACCTGTAATCCCAGTTACTTGAGGGACTTAGGCTGGAGAATCACTTGAACCTGGGAGGCAGAGTTTGCACTGAACTGAGATCACAACACTGCACTCCAGCCTGGGTGGCAGAGTGAGACACCATCTCAAAACACATAAACAAGCAAACAGACAAAAATTCATCAGATCTTGTGAGAACTCACTCACTATTATAAGAAGAGTAAAGGGGCAGTCCGTCCCCATGATCCAATCACTTCCTGCCAGGCTCCTCTTCCAATTTGGCATGAGATTTTGGTAAGAACACAAACCCAAACCATATCATTCCACCCCTGGTCCCTCCCAAATCTCATGTCCTTGTCACATTTCAAAACACAATCATGCTTTCCCAACAGTCCCCCAAAGTCTTTACTCATTCCAGCATCAACCGAATAGTCCAAGTCCAATGTGTCATTTTTGACTGACACAAGGCAAGTCCCTTTTTCCTTGCCTTGTTGTTAAATCATAAAGAAGTTAGTTAGATGCAACGGGGGCAAAAGCATTGGGTAAATGCTCCTGTTCCAAATGGGAGAAATTTGCCAAAACCAAGGGGATACAGGACCCATGCAAGTCCAAAACCCAGCAAGGCAGTCATTAAATCTTAAAGATTTAAATTAATTTCCTTTGACTATATTTCTCACATGCAGGGCACACTGTTGCAAGGGGTGGGCTCCCAAGGCCTTGGGAAGCTCCACCTCTGTGGCTCTGCTGTGTACAGTCCTCATGGCTGCTTTTGTGTCTGACTTTGAGTACCTGTAGCTTCTCCAGATGCACAGTGCAAGCTGTAAGTGGATCTGCCAATTTGGGGTTTGGACAGTGGTGGCCCTCTTTTCACAGCTCTACTAGGCAGTGCCCCAGTGGGGACTCTGTATGAGGGCTCCAAACCCACATGTGCCCTCCACGTTGTCCTAGTAGAGGTTTTCCATAAGGGCTCCACCTCCACAGCAGACTTCTGTGTGGACATCCAGGTGTTTCCATACACCCTGTGAAATCTAGGTTCCCAATCTCAACTCTTGCCTTCTGTGTACCCACAGGCCCAACACCACTTAGAGACTGCCAAGGCTTGGGGCTTGCACCCTCTGAAGCCATGGCCTGAGCTGCACCTTGGCCCTTTTTAGCCAGAGCTGGAGGTGGAGTGGCTGGGACACAGGGCAACATGTCCCAAGGCTGCACAGAGCAGCTGGGATATTGGCCTGGCCCTTGAAACCATTTTTCCTTCCTAGGCCTCTGGGCCTGTGATGGGAGGGGCTGCTGTGAAGGTCCCTAAAATGTCCTGGAAACATTTTCCCCATTGTCTTGGCTATTAACATTTGTCTCCTCTTTACTTATGCAAATTTCTGCAGCTGGCTTGAATTCCTCCCCCAGAAAATGGGATTTTCTTTATATATATTCTACTTTAAGTTCTGGGATACATGTGCAGAATGTGCAGGTTTGTTACATAGGTATACAAGTTTGCTGCACCTATCAACCTGTCTTCTAGGTTTTAAGCCCAGCATGCATAAGATATTTGTCCTAATGCTCTCCCTCTCCTTTCCCTTCACCCCCCAACAGGCCCCTGTGTGTGATGTTCCCCTCCCTGTGTCCATGTGTTCTCATAATTCAACTCCCACTTATGAGTGAGAACATGCAGTGTTTGGTTTTCTGTTCCTGTGTTAGTTTGCTGAGAATGATGGCTTCCAGTTTCATGCATGTCCCTGCAAAGGACATGAACTTATTCTTTCTTATGGCTGCATAGTATTTCATGGTGTATATGTGCCATGTTTTCTTTATCCAGTCTATTACTGATGGGCATTTGGGTTGGTTCCAAGTCTTTGCTATTATAAATAGTGCTGCAATAAACATACATGTGCATGTATCTTTATAGCAGCATGATTTATGATCCTTTGGGTATATACCCAGTAATGGGATTGCTGGGTCAAATGATATTTCTGCTTCTAGATCATTGAGGAATTGCCACACTGTCTTCCACAATGGTTGGACTAATTTACACTCCCACCATCAGTGTAAAAGTGTTCCTATTTCTCCACATCCTCTCCAGAGTCTGTTGTTTCCTGTCTTTTTAATGATTGCCATTCTAACTGGCATGAAATGATATCTCATCATGGTTTTGATTTGCATTTCTCTAATGACCAGTGATGAAGAGCTTTTTTTCATATGTTTGTTGGCTGCATAATTGTCTTCTTTTGATAAGTGTCTGTTCATATCGTTTGCCCACTTTTTGATAGGGTTGTTGTTTTCTTTCTCATAAATTTGTTTAAGTTCCTTGTAGATTCTGGATATTAGACCTTTGTAAGATGGGTAGATTGGAAAAATTTTCTCCCATTCTGTAGGTTGCCTGTTCACTCTGATGAGTTTCTTTTGCTGAGCAGAAGCTCCTTAGTTTAATTAGATTCCTAAAATGGGATTTTCTTTTCTGCCACATGGCTGGGCTGCAAATTTTCCAAACTTTTATGCCCTGCTTCCCTTTTAAATATAAATTCCAGTTTCAGAGAATGTCTTTGTCAATGCATATGAGCCTACACTTTTAGAAACAGCTAGGTCATATTTTGAATGCATTGCTGCTTATAAATTTCTTCCTCCAGGCACCCTAAATCATCGCTTTCAAGTTCAAAGTTCCACAGATCTCTAGGGCAAAAGCAAAAAGCAAAATGCTGCCAGTCTCTTTGCTAAAGCATAGCAAGAGTGACCTTTACTTCAGTTCCCAATTAGTTTCTCATCTCTATCTGAGACTACCTCAGCTTGGACTTCACTGTCTATATCCTATCATCATTTTGGTCAAAACCATTCAACAAGTCTCTAGGAAGTTCCAAACATACCTACATATTTCTGTCTTCTTCTGAGCCCTCCAAACTGTTTCAGTCTCTGCCTGTTGCCCAGTTCCAAAGTTGCTTCCACATTTTCAGGTATCTTTATAGCAGTGCCTCACTCCTGGTTTCAATTTTCTTTCCTTTCTTTCTTTCTTTCTTTCTTTCTTTCTTTCTTTCTTTCTTTCTTTCTTTCTTTCTTTTTTCTCTCTTTCTTTCCTTCTTTCCTCCTTTCCTTCTTTCCTTCTTTCCTTCTTCCTTCCTTCCTTTTTTTTTTTTTTTGAAACAGAGTCTTGTTCCATTGCCCAGGAGTGCAGTGGTGTGACCTTGGCTCACTGCAACCCCTGCCTACCAGGTTCAAGTGATTATCGTACCTCAGCCTCCCTAGTAGCTGGGATTACAGAAGCGTGCCACCACACCTGACTAATTTTTGTATTTTTTTGCAGAGATGGGGTTTAACCATGTTCGCCCTGCTGGTCTTGATCTCCTGACTACAAGTGATCCTGCTGCCTTGACCTCCCAAGGTGCTGAGATTACTGGCATGAACCATCATGCCTTGCCCTGGTTTCAATTTTCTATATTAGTCTGTTTTCACACTGCTGTAAAGAACTATGTGAAACTGGGTAATTTATGAAGAAAAGAGGTCTAATTGACTCACAGTTCAGCAGGCATAACAGGAAGCATGACTGGGAGACCTTAGGAAACTTACAATCATAGCAGAAGGGGAAGAGGAAACAAGCACCTACTTCACATGGTGGCAGGAGAGAAATAAAGAGTAGGGAGTGAAGTGCTACACTCTTTTAAATTATCAAATCTCATGAGAACTCACTCACTAGCATAAGAACCGCAAGGGGGATATTTACCCCCATGATCCAATCACCTGTGACCAGACCTGTCTTCTTCCAATTTGTCATGAGATTTGGGTGGGCACACAATCCAAACCATATCAACTGCTTTCTTTGGATTGGGTTTCAAAATTCTCATCCATCTTCTTGATCATGCATCTGGATTCTGAGTTCTTTGTCTGTCATTTTAGTCATTTTTCTGGTTAAGAACCATGGTTGGGAAGCTAGTGCAGTCATTTGGAGGTAAGAAGTCACTCTGGCTTTTGGAGTTGCCAGAATTCTTTTGCTGATAGTTTCTCATCGATGTGAGCTGATGTTTCTTTAATGTTTGCATTTGCTGTCTTTTGATTGGTGCTTTTTTCTTTTATAATATTTGACACCCTTTATTGTTTGACAGTGGTTTAAGTTGGTTTCAGTTGATTGGTTTTATTTCTGGATGATTTCAGGGGTCAGTGCTCAGCTCAACACTCCTGCCTCCATCTTGCAGGCAAGACAGCCCTGCTCTCTCCAGGTACAGCTCCTAACACAGGTTAAAAGCCACCAAGGGAATATGACAAGCCTTGGAGAATGGTCACCCATGGTCATGCTCCACTGCCCCTGTTTCTTCACCAAACTCTCTAGGCTCTGTGCAGACTTGAGTTTTGTCTCTCCCAACTCTCTGTAGAATTCCCTCTGCCAACTCAATTGTCTGTAGGGGCTATAGAATCTCCTGCAGTTGGATCCCAGAGGCCCATGGTGAGAGTGGGCTGCTCCAAGCCTATTTTACTCACTCCTTCTCTAGGAGCTGCTCAGCACCATGAATAAGTCCTGGTGCTTATCAATCCTGTGTAGAGTTCCAAGATTCCTCCTCATTTAACCCCAGGGGCTGCGTATTCCCCATATCCACATTCCAATGCCTTATTTCCAAAGATATGTTCATAGTGTGCCAGTCTACTTGATGATCTAGTTTGTCTTGATGGGAAAAGCTCTTCCTGGAAGTCTACTCAGCAATCTTGGCTCTTCTAGCAATAAAATTATTTTAGGATTTAACGTTTGTTACTCATGTATTTCACATTTTAAGAATTAAATTAATTTTTATATAATCATGTTTTATTTGCAAATTACAGGATAGAATATTTAGGTTTAAGATTTATGACAAAAATGTTATGGGTGTGAGCCATCTTTAATTGAATAAAATAGTGACATGATATATAACTTTCTTTTGCAATACATTTTCACTCTTTGCATTTCCTATAATCGCTAGAAATTCATGTATATGCTTGGCATACGATTTTGATTTTGTTAATGAATTTTTGGATGTGATTAAGGTCATCTTAATTTGCATGATTATCATTTTATATTTCTCAGTGTGATTTGTATTTCAATATTAAATGTATTTATGCATAGAAACTAGAGATTAAATGTAAGCAAAATAATGTAGAATTATATAATAATAAAAATTATCATGAACCCTAGCAGGTTCCAGGTGAATGGTTTAAAATAAAGTGAGAGTATCATGAGAATGGTTATTGATTTTTTCTAACTACCCTACATGTTTATTTAACAACAGATTCAGACGCTTTCAAGGACTTACAGAAGAAATAATCTCAAATAACTATTTAATTTACTCTTTAGATTTAAAATAAATACCTTTATAAATTAAAATAAACACCTTTATCTGAATCAATTATATGAACTTCTGGATGAAGTTTAGAAATGTGGCATTAAAACACTATAGACTATATTTCAAACACTCTTTGTAAATCCTGAAGCAACCTTTTGTTACAGAAATATTTGATTTTTACACACCCAAAAAACAAAATATATATTCCAAACAATCCTGCTTATAAATAATAATTGTTTTCATTGCACTTTGACTTGCTGAATTATAGTAATTGTGAAACCAGTAAAATTGGTAATTTATTCATGAACCCCTTTTTGAAATCTGTAATATATGTATATACAAAAACATACATAAAAAAGTTAATGTTTTGTAGATATAGATAATGATTATGTAAAATCAGCATAATTTACCTCAAAAATGGCTTCAGTAATGCTTCTAGGCACCATTATTTTCAAAACAACTTAAAAGATTTCTGTGAGTACTGTTTTTGATATTTCTAATTAATTCCTTGAATGCAGCTTACCTACTTTCCTTATAAATTTTAAAACTAAAATAAATAACAGGGATCTCAATGATTTTATGAAAGGAAATCTCTACAAAATGCTAACCCCATTATTTGAATCAGCTATAATTTGGATAGAACTAAATGTAGTATTATGCATCTCCTTAGGTAAACAAAAGGAAATGAGAAATCACAATATTAAACTATGATTAGCAAGTCTCATCTTCACAAACTGTCACTAATATGTAAAGAATATGTTTCAAAAATTTTCCCAGGGAGTGTGGAGTATTTATATCTTGTGAATAATTTTATACCTAAAATATGCCCTAGCAATAGTGATAAAATACAGTAGAATTTTTAAAAATATTATTTGCCAATTAAGCATCTTTAAAAATTAAACATTTTTGTAAAACATAAAACAAACTATAATTTTTTGTATAAAATACTGTAGCTTGCACCTCGTATTTAAAATTTTCTTCTCATTTTCATGCCTAATGTTTATTTTAATTCATTTCGACATTTCATTTGTAATATAAGTTGCTTTCTGGATTTATTTTTTCTAGAACCAGCTCACCAACAATCTAAACTAAGATTATCTTGTAAAACACTAAAAATACTTTACAAGTTACAACTTACTAAATGCAGATAGTACTTTACTAAAAGACAGATAAACAAATGCAATTATAATAAAGAGAAAACAGTTGATGGATTTTGAAAAGCAAGATAAATATAGCATTTATCTCTATGTACAAGTTACTTATATTACTGATATTGGTTTTCAGTGATTTTGCAATTAAAATTTTTGTTTTTAACCAATATTGGGTAGATTGCATAGAAGAAATATCTCAATGAGTATTTATAACAATATATTCAGGAAAATTTAAATTTACAACTAATATTAAAAGATGAAGCTTGCAATAACATAAAGGTATTATCAGTATGTTGCCTTTTGACACAATTCTAGAATGCTGAGGACATTCTTATTAATATTTCCATTTATAAAGTGCCCCTATCATTCACCTGTGAAAATTTACCTTTCTTGATTTAGGGTTTGACTTTTTGATTGTTTTTTACTAGAGAGGTTTTGGGAGAAAAAACAGTTTTAAACTTTTTAATCAAAGTGATAATGAAAGCTCCAGTTTCAAAAAAATCAAAATTTTAACAGACATAACATTTATTAAGCAGGTTAAAATAGCAGCAGTTTACACTATAAAATTCACCCATGACTTAGTTTGAAAAACTCAGTTAACATAAAATAATTTTGAGTCCTTCAGACTGTCTGGTGATATTGGAAAATATCAATTTAATGAAGGAATCAGTGTAATTACAGCAAATGATGTGTAAAATTGAGTAAAAAGGTTTACATGGTTTGGATCTGTGCCTCCACCCAAATCTCATCTCTAAGTGTAATCCTCATACTCCCCACATGTCTGGAGAGGAACCTGGTGGGAGGGGATTGAATCCTGGGGGTGATTCTTCTATGCTGTTCTTGTGATAGTGAGTGAGTTCTCATGAGATCTGATGGTTTTATAAGGGGTTCTTCCCCCTTTGCTTCACCTTTGCTTCCCCTTTGCTTCACACACTTCTTTCTCTTGCTGCCATGTAAAAAGGTCCAAGCTTGCTTCCCTTTCACCTTCCACCATGACTATAAGTTTCCTGAGGCCTCACTAGCCATGGGGAGCTGTGAGTCAAACCTCTTTCTTTTATATATTACCCAGTCTCAATTATTTCTCTATAGCCATGTGAAAACAGACTAATAGAAAGGTCTTTACTTTTTCTCTGTATTTATTGTCACCACCTTTTCCTGGACTTCCATGAGGGTTGTGATATTTTCAACAGAGACTTCCATCTGTCTGTGACTCATTTTCATTAAATAGAATAATTTTTCATCAAAACGATTTATACCCTAAACTAATATGTTATGATCTACATCTTGAATTTAATAAAATATTTTTTGATTATTCACACTTTAGAGTTATTTATTTATTCTTCCACTTTTCTTAATCTAGGTCTGCCCTTCAACTCTGAACTATTCTCCCCCAAATACAAGTTGTATAATTCCTCTTACCAAGAGCATGCTTTCTCTTTGTACAGAAAACTTTGAAACTTTTCAGTAGATAAATATGTATAAAATTTTATTTAGGTAATCTTAATTTGTTAGCATAAAATGATACTAATAACCATTCTATTGACTGACTTATGTTTGTGTAGTTGTTTTAAGTGAGAAGGGAAAGGTAAGAGAAACTGTTTTCCCTATGTTAGGAATTTAGACAAGTATACACATTTTTTAATAGCATAGCCTTTGCTATGCTGCATTACTAATATTATGTAGGATTTAGCAAGCAAACAAATAAAATTTAATTTTTTAAAAAATGTTATTTGATTCCTTAACTGCAATCTGAACAGATCTCTGTATTTTCCATCCTCTGTACAATCATTAACAAGACATTTTTCTTCAAATATTATCTATAGGCAATTTAACTATATTATTATAAGTGATTATTCATACTGAAGTAATCAATAGCTCCATTTTTGGACACAGTGATCAAGTTTCCTAATGCAATGATTGCATTAATCTATTTAGAAAATTTTATAGCTACTTAATTTTAATAACATTTAATACCGCTCACTATAAATACCATAAGCATTATTAATATGATATAATTATATTTCATTTCAGATTTCCAGTTATGCTCTCCTTTACCTATCTATGTCATTCTTGGTTTATTGCAAGTCTGTTCATTACACTAATTCATTTATATCTAATGCTTTCCAGTAAAGACCCAAATTATTATTAACTGGTCATAATACTACAGCTTCTTTTGATACTTATGGCACTTGTATAAACCATTTATAGTTTTATAAGCTTGCTAGAGTGATTAGCTCCAAATATTAATAATGATAGTGAAAATGACAAAATCTAACTAAAATATTTACCATTAACTTTTAGCTTCAATCCCATCAAGTAGACACATTTCTTACAGCTTTGTTGAAGAATAACTGAGAAATAAAACATTATATGTGTTTAAAGTGTACAGTGTGGTATTTGATATAACCTCATGTAATAATTCCAACAATCAAGATAATTAACATATACATCACCTTGCATTGTTACCATTTTTGTGTGTCTGTTGAGAACACTTAAGATCTACTCTCTTAGCAAATTTCTAGTATACAATACAATGTTATTAACTATATTAATATACTATATTAACTATCATATAGTTAATATGTGTATTAACTATCATATAGTTAATATGTGTATTAACTATCATATAGTTAATATGTGTATTAACTATCATATAGTTAATATGTGTATTAACTATCATATAGTTAATATGTGTATTAACTATCATATAGTTAATATGTGTATTAACTATCATATAGTTAATATGTGTATTAACTATCATATAGTTAATATGTGTATTAACTATCATATAGTTAATATGTGTATTAACTATCATATAGTTAATAAGTGTATTAACTATCATATAGTTAATAAGTGTATTAAATATATTAATATACATAGTATTAATATACTATGCTGTATATTAGCTATCTAGTAAAACTTATTCATCTCATAACTGAAAATTTGTATCCTTTGAACAACATCTGCCAAATTCCCCCACCCCATAGCTCCTGGCAACCACCATTATATTCTCTGTCTCTCTAAGTTTAACTATTTTAAATTCCACATGTAAGGGATAATAAGCAACAATTACCTTTCTGTATCTGGCTATTTCATTAAACTTAATGTTATCCAGGTTCATCTGTGTTGTCACAAGTGGCAGAATATTTTTTTAGAGGCTGAATAATATTCTAGTATATATACATATATATGTATGTATGTGTATACACACACACAGCATGTTTTATTTGTAGATGAACACTTAGGTTGTTTTCATGTCCTGACTATTACGAATAATGCTGCAATTAACATGAGAATGTGGATATCTCTTTGAGATACTGATTTCATTTCCTTCAGCTATACAACAAGAAGTGTGATTGCTAGACACATTTTCTTAAAAATAATAAGTCATCATTGTCGGGACATCAAATATACCTCTTTTATCAAGCCACCAGTAATTTTCAGAGATTTCCCCTTTTTTGAGATCTGAAAGGCCTGGGCCTGAAGCTTTCTTGGGGCAGGAAAATAGTTATATGGACATTATCCTAGTGATTACTTATAAAAGTGACCTTTTTGTGGTTAAAATATTACTTATTTCTATGTATAGCATAACCCTCTTTGTGTGAATTCATCTTTCAGTCTTTGGTTCTTTCCTATTTAAGATAAACTTTAACCTCCATCATGAGTGTACATTTATGATATTTATGTTCTATGCTGTAATGTATATTTTTATATTTAAATAGGTATAATGGCAGAAAACTAGAGAAAAAGGCTAGTTATTTTAAGCAGATTTAAAAGTTGAAAATACAAAGCTTTCCAGGATTAGATTAATATTAACCCACAGGTTAATGTTCTGGTTTGGTTCAATTTTAATTTTAAAAGTTTCCTTCCATCTTTTCTTTTTATGTATCAACACAGCTAAAAGATCATGATTGAAAAAGAAAATATTATCCCTATAAGGATGTTTTAAGACTAATGTTTTACAAATCCAGAATCCACATAAGTTTCAGATTAAAATAAACATAAAAGATTAACTCAGAGTTTCTCATTATGTAACTTCTTATCTCAATTTATAACATTTGAATATTCTGAGTCCTACTTTGCACTTGATTTGACAATGTGAATCTCAATGTTCCAAACATTTTCTTCATGACACAGGCCATTATGGAGAAAAAACTCCCATACTGCTATCTCATATCACAGTAATGTTTTTATCTGCAGTGTGCTAATAGAGTCTCCTGGGATTTACATCAATAGTAATCACCAAATGTGATGTTAGAGGAAGGTTGATGTTTTGATAGTCTTTTATTGGCTCTTGCGAATTTAGAACAATCATCAACATCATTATTATACAGAATGTGGCTAAAAATGGGAAAAGGGAAAAGTGGGTTAATTTCATTTTAATTTAAGGCTTTGGGCCCTAAATGCCAATGTAAGAATTTATTAGTAATAGTTATATCAAAAGCTTTTTAACATAATTACAAGCAAATTATATGCATGTGGCCAGTAAAATCAGAGGTTAGTTTCATTATTTCTAATAAAATGCATGGTTTATGGATAAAATCTGTTGAGTTTTGTATTCTCTAATTTAATCAGCATAAACTTCAACTGTGCAGAATTATATGGTCAAAAATGTCATTAAAAAGTCATAAAATTGCATAAATCTACACTGTGTATAATAGCATGTTCCTCATATCTTCAATTTCAAATGCTTCAAATTGACTTCGGTTTTCTGGTTCAGCATGTAAGGTGCTTAGAAGTCACCATTCATGATCTAGCCTTATACCAAAAAGCATATCTTTTCAAATTGTAATCAAATATCCAGGTAAACAAAATATATTTTTTCTCCCACTGTTCTGAATAGTCTATACTTTTTACTTTAAATTTGCATATATACCCTGGGCACAGTGGCTCATGCCTGTAATCCCAGTACTTTGGGAGGCTGAGGTGGGCGGATCACCTAAGGTCAGGAGTTCGAAACCAGCCTGGCCAACGTCGCAAAACCTTGTCTCTACTAAAAATACAAAAATTAGGCCGGAGGTGGTGGCTCACGCCTGTAATCCCAGCACTTTGGGAGGCCAAGGAGGGTGAATCACGAGGTCAGGAGTTCAAGACCAGTCTGGCCAAGATGATGAAACCCCGTCTCTACTAAAAATACAAACAAATTAGCTGGGCGTGGTGGCAGGCGCCTGTAATCCCAGCTATTTGTGTGGCTGAGGTAGAGAACTGTTTGAACCCAGGAGGTGGAGTTTGCAATGAGCCGAGATCATGCCACTGCACTCCAGTCTGGGCGACAGAGCGAGACTGTGTCTCAAAAAAGAAAAGAAAAAAAATACACACACACACACACACACACACACACACACACACAAATACAAATATTAGCTGGGCATGGTGGCGGGTGCCTGTAATCCCAGCTACATGGGAGGCTGAGGCAGGGAGAATCACTTGAACCCAGGAGGCGGAGGTTGCAGTGAGCCGAGATCACGCTACTGCACTCCAGCCTGGATGACAGAGGGAGACTCCGTCTAAAAAAAAAAAAAAAAAAAAATTGCATATATATTTGATATTGTGAAAACTGCAAACATCAAGAGATAAATATTCTTCAGAGGTTGTCAGTTAAACAAAATTTCTGCTGAAGCCATCTAAACAATCAAATCTAAACAATATTTTGCTTGTCTCTCCTACACCCTCAAATTTTTAAGCGGGTTTAGCCAGCTCAGGAGCAATAGCCAAGGCAGGTATCATGATGGATTGCCAAGGAATAGAGCTGAAAGGATAGGTATCTGAACTGAAACCAGAAAGTACAACAGCCAAAAGTTATATATGTTATGTCATACAGAGCTCCAGGAATCATTTTCTTTTTTGAATTTGAGATGGAGTGTTGCTCTGTTGTCCAGGCTAGAGTGTAATGGCACTATCTCAGCTCACTGCAACCTCTGCCTCCCATATTCAAGTGATTCTGCTGCCTCAGCATCCTGAGTACCTGGGATTACAGGTGCCCACCACCACACCTGGCTAATTTTTGTATGTTTAGTAGAGACGGGGTTTCACCATGTTGGCCAGGCTGGTCTCAAACTCCTGACCTCTGGTGATCTGCTGGCTTCGCCCTCCCAAAGTTCTGTGATTACAGGATGAGTCACCATGCCCAGCTCCAGGGATCAAATTTGGAGGAGCTAACTTCTCTAATCAAATATAAGAGGAAGAGTTCTAGCAAAGATACTTTAGACATAGTCAAAACGTCTAAAACTAGGTAGAAATGGGAATAAAGATTGGGATCCAGAATGAAATAAATTAAGATAAGTCAGAGAAAATACCATAAATTGAGTTGACGGAACAGCTAGGTTTAACAGCTGACCGATATGAGACCAATATGATGCAATATAATTATACAAATTTTTCTTTTTTATTTGGATATAATTTTGCTATTTTTTGTGCTTATTGCCATGTTTAACACTATGAGTCACATAAAATATGTTTGAAATTAAATTAGTGTCATTATAAAGCTCACAATTTAGAAAGCCCTAACCTGTTTCTCTTCAACTTAAAGCAATGATCTAGGTGGGCAAATGAAACAAACACATGAAACTATTAAATAAAATTATAAGGTGGTAACAAGTATAAATTACAAAGTGTAATATTCAAATGCAACAGAAATATATTTCTGGCTCATATAGCCTCCCAGGACAGATGTTGTTGGCAGGTGAGTGGCTTTTCAGGTACCCAAGGTTATTGTATTTTTTTTATTCTGCCGTGCCTTAGAACTTTATTGTCATATTCTAGCACAGAGGATCATAAAGGGAGCATATAGAATTCACACATTTGATTGCTTTCTTTAAGATTTTTTTGGAGATGTTAAAAATATTTATCATAAGTGCACTGCTGTATAATAAGTAAAAGCAAGCCAAAAGAAAAATTCATTTTATTTGAAGTAATATCTCTAATGAAGATGGTTTTATACATTAAGAGGGCAAGGTAGAAATAATTTAATGCATAAGCCAATTTAATGCATAGAAGAGATACATAAAAATTTTAAAAGCAGTTGTTAACACACACATATGTGCATGCGTGAATCAAATCTGATAAACTGATTCCTCATAGATTAGTAAATTGAGTATCGGTGTGTGGTTCTTCCTTTCTTTGTTTAATTTTATATTAAGCAAAAACTTTTTCCAATATATCAAATTGTATTACAACATTGTCACTCAATTTTAGAATTAGATATTCATCTATCATTTTGAAGCAGCTAGAATTCTGGCCCTTGTCCTCTCATATGTTAGTAAGATAACTGCAAAACACCGAAGTTGCATAGCTTCTTCAGAGTGCCACAGAGAGTCAGGGAGCAAATCATGGCTCAAACTCAAGTTATGTGCTTTCTAATACCACAAACTCATGAAGTTTCCTTGACAATTCTCAGTATAATCTTATTTCAATCTGACTCATAGCACTAATTAGAAAACACTATGAAGAAAGAACACCTTACACTGATGAAATTCCACTGATTCTTAGAAATCAGCTTATATAGTACTTCATCAGGTAGGCATTCCCTGCCACTCCAATCTAAATTAACCCCCCACATTATTCCCACTTATACCACTCTGATTTTTTTGTCTTAACACTTAACTCTATCTGTTATTACATATTTACTTTAAGGATTTTTAAACATTTATTGCCTGCATTTAATTTAGTAAGTGAATGCTTGCATTAGTCTTTCCTCATCTCTCCACTGAACTGAATTCCACATATTCTTTCCACATATTCTTTTTATTTTTTTTTTTATTTTTTTGAGATGGAGTGTCACTCTATCACCCAGGCTGGAATGCAGTGGCATGATCTTGCCTCACTGCAACCTCCACCTCCTGGCTTCAAGCGATTCTCCTGCCTCAGCCTCCCAAATAGCTGGAATTAAAGTTGTGTGCCGCCACGCTTGGCTAATTTTTGTATTTTTGGTAGAGATGGGGTTTCACCATATTGGCCAGGCTGGTCTTGAACCCCTGGCCTCAAGTGATCTGCCCGCCTCGGCCTCCCAAAGTGCTGGGATTACAGGCATAAGCTTCTGCGGCTGGCCAAAATTCCACATATTCTTAAAGGTTCTATTCAAGTTCTATTTTATTCATGAACTCTATCTGAATCATTTTAACTAATAATCTCTCTCTTTCGACTTCAATTGTCATTAGTATTCACCTTTGGTCAACTGATATAACTGTGGCAGACTGCTAGTTGTACTCCAAAAATTCTGTTTCCTCTTTGTCATGTATACGTTGTCCATCCTCCCATGCAGGTCAGTTGGGGTCATGTGACTGAATTACTGGCAAAGCAACATGAGCAAAGGTGAAATAAACCACTTCCAAACTAAGGCTTATAACAAGTTATGTCTGATTGTGGTGTTTTAGCTATAGTTAAAAAATAAAATATGATCACTCTGACTTGGTTGTAGAAAACATCCTAAAGGTGTGGCTAGCAAGATGGCCAAATAGGAACAGCTCTGGTCTGCAGCTCCCAGCGAGATCAACGCAGAAGGCAAGTTATTTCTGCATTTCCAACTGAGGTACCCAGCTCATCTTATTGAAACTGGTTAGACAGTGGGTGCAGTCCACAGAGGGTGAGCTGAAGCAGTTTCTGGCGTTGCCTCACTCGGGAAGCGCAGGGGGTCAGGGAACTCCCTCCCTTAGCCAAGGGAAGCTGTGAGGGACTGTGCCATGAGGAATGGTGCATTCCAGCCCAGATACTATGCTTTTCCCTCAGTCTTCATAACCTGCAGACCAGGAGATTCCCTTGGGTGCCTACACCACCAGCGCCCTGGGTTTCAAGCACAAAACTGGGCAGCCATTTGGGCAGGCACCCAGCTAGCAGCAGGAGTTTTTTTTCATACCTCAGTGGTGCCTGGAATTCCAGCGAGACAGTCTGTTCACTACCCTGGAAAGGGGGCTGAAGCCAAAGAACCAAGTGATCTAGTTCAGTGAATCCCACCCCTATGGAGCACAGCAAGCTAAGATCCACTGGCTTGAAATTCTCGCTGCCAGCACAGCAGTCTGAAGTCAACCTGGGATGCTCAAGCTTGGTGGGGGGGAGGGGCATCCGCCATTACTGAGGCTTGAGTAGGCAGTTTTCCCCTCACAGTGTAAACAAAGCCAACAGGAAGTTTGAACTGGGTGCAGCCCACTGCAGCCTGGCAAAGCTGCTGTAGCCAGACTGCCTCTCTAGATTATTCCTCTTCTGGCAGGGCATCACTGAAAGAAAGGCAGCAGCCCCAGTCAGGGGCTTAAAGACAAAACTCCCATCTCCCAGGGACGGAGCACCTGGGGGAAGGGGGCGGCTGTGGGCACAGCTTCAGAAGACTTAAACGTTCCTTCCTGCCATCTCTGAAGAGAGCAGCGGATCTGCCAGCACAGCACTCGAGCTCTGCTAAGGGACAGACTGCCTCCTCTACTGGGTCCCTGACCCCAATGTCTCCTGACTGGGAGATGTCTCCTGGCAGAAGTCGAGAGACACCTCATATAGGGGACCTCTGGCTGGCATCTGGTGGGTGCATCTCTGCGACAAAGCTTCCAGAGGAAGAAATAGGCAGCAATCTTTGCTGTTCTGCAGCCTCCACTGGTGATACCCAGGCAAACAGGGTCTTGAGTGGACCTCCAGAAAACTCCAGCAGACCTGCAGCAGAGGCGCCTGTTAGAAGGAAAGCTAACAAACAGAAAGGAATAGCATCAACATCCACAAAAAGGACATCCACACAAAAACCCCATCTGAAGATCATCAACTTCAAAGACCAAAGGTAGAAAAATCCACAAAGATGATGAAAAAACAGCAAAAAAAAGGATGAAAATTCCAAAAGCCAGAATGTCCCTTCTCCTCCAGAGGATCACAATTCCCTGCCAGGAAGGGAACAAAACTGGACATAGAATGAGTTTGACAAATTGACAGAAGTAGGCTTCAGAAGGTGGGTAATAACAAACTCCTCCGAGCTATAGGAGCATGTTCTAACCCAATGCAAGGAAGCTAAGAATCTTGAAAAAAGGATAGAGGAATTGTTAACTAGAATAACCAGTTTAGAGAAGAAAATAAATGACGTGATGGAGCTGAAAAACACAACATGAGAGCTTCAAGAAGCATACATAAGTATCAATAGCCGAATCGACCAAGCAGAAGAAAGGATATCAGAGATTGAAGATCAACTTAATGAAATAAAGCATGAAGACAAGATTAGAGAAAAAAGAATGAAAAGGAACAAACAAAGCCTCCAAGAAATATGGGACTATGTGAAAAGATCAAACCTAATTTGATTGGTGTACCGGAAAGTGGTGGGGAGAATGGAACCAAGTTGGAAAATATTCTTCAGGATATTATCTAGGAGAATTTCTCCAGCCTAGCAAGACAGGCCAACATTCCAATTCAGGAAATACAGAGAACACCACTAAGATACACCTCAAGAAGAGCAACCCCAAGATACATAATCATCAGATTCACCAAGGTTGAAATGAAGGAAAAAATGTTAAGGGCAGCCAGAGAGAAAGCTTGGGTTACTCACAAAGGGAAGCCCATCAGACTAACAGCAGATCTCTCTGCAGAAACCCTACAAGCCAGAAGAGAGTGGGGCCAATATTCAACATTCTTAAAGAACAGAATTTTCAACCCAGAATTTCATATCCAGGCGAACTAAGCTTCATAAGTGAAGGAGAAATAAAATCCTTCACAGACAAGCAAAAGCTGAGAGATTTTGTCACCACCAGCCTTGCCTTACAAGAGCTTCTGAAGGAAGTACTAAATATCAAAAGAAAAAAACCTACACCAGCCACTGCAAAAACATACCAAATTGTAAAGACCATCAACTCTATGAAGAAACTGCATCAACTAACAGGCAAAATAACCAGCTAGCATCATAATGTCAGGATCAAATTCACACATAACAATATTAACCTTAAATGTAAACTGGCTAAATGCCCCAATTAAAAGACACAGACTGGCAAATTTGATAAAAAGTCAAGACCCATTGGTGTGCTGTATTCAGGAGACCCAGCTCATGTTCAAAGACACACTTAGGCTCAAAATAAAGGGATGGAGGATTATTTACCAAGCAAATGGAAAACAAAAACAAAAAATCAGGGGTTGCAATCCTAGTCTCTGTTAAAACTGACTTTAAACCAACAAAGATCAAAAAAGACAAAGAAGGGCATCACATAATGGTAAAGAGATCAATGCAACAAGAAGAGCTAACCTAAATATATGTGCACCCAATACAAAAGAACCCAGGTTCATAAAGCAAGCTCTTAGAGACCTACAAAGAGACTTAGACTTACACACAATACTAGTGGGAGACTTTAACATCCCACTGTCAGTATTAGACAGATAACCAGACAGAAAATTAACAAGGATATTCAGGACTTGAACTCAGGTCTGGACCAAGCAGACCTAATAGACATCTACACAACTCTCCACCCCAAATCAACAGAGTATACATTCTTCCCAGCATCACATCACACTTATTCTAAAATTTACCACATAATTGGAAGTAAAACACTCCTCAGCAAATGCAAAAGAATGGAAATCATAACCAACTGTCTCTCAGACCACAGTGCGATCAAATTAGAACTCAGGATAAAGAAACTCACTCAAAACCACACAACTACATGGAAACTGAACACCTGCTCCTGAATGACTGCTGGGTAAATAATGAAATGAAGTCAGAAATAAATAAGTTCTTTGAAACCAAAGAGAACGAGGACACAATGTACCAGAATCTCTGGGTCACAGTTATAGAGTAAAATTTATAGCCCTAAATGCCCACAGGAGAAAGTGAGAAAGATCTAAAATCGACACCCTAATATCACAATTAAAAGAACTAGAGAAGCAAGAAAAAACAAATCCAAAAGCTAGCAGAAGACAAGAAATAACTAAGATCAGAGCAGAACTGAAGGAGATAGAAACACGAAAGACCCTTCAAAACATCGATAAATCCAGTAGCTGGTTTTTTGAAAAGATTAACAAAATAGATAGACTGCTAGTGAGATTAGTAAGGAAGAAAAGAGAGAAGAATCAAATAGATACAATAAAAATGATAAAGGGGATATCGCCACTGATCCCACACAAATACAAACTACCATTAGCAAATACTACAAACACCTCTACGCAAATCAACTAGATAGTCTAGAAGAAATGTATAAATTCCTGGACACATTCACCCTCCCAAGACTAAACCAGGAAGAAGTCAAATCCCTGAATATACCAATAACAAGTTCTGAAATTGAGGCAGTAATTAATAGCCTACCAACAAAAAAAAGCCCAGGATCAGATGGATTCACAGCTGAATTCTACCAGAGGTTCAAAGAGGAGCTGGTACCATTCCTTCTGAAATTATTTCAAATAATAGAAAGAGAGGGACCCCTTCCTAACTCATTTTATGAGGCCAGCATCATCCTGATACCAAAACCTGGCAGAAACACAACAAAAAAAGAAAATTTCAGGCTAATATCCCTGATGAACATTGTGGCAAAAATTCTCAATAAAATACTGGCAAACCGAATCCAGCAGCACATCAAAAACTTATCCACCACAATCAAGTCGGCTTCAATCCCTAGGAAGCAAGCCTGGTTCAACATACACAAATCAGTAAACATAATACATCACATAAAAGAACCAATGACAAAAACCACACGATTATCTCAATAGATGCAGAAAAGGCCTTCAATAAAATTCAACACCGCTTCATGCTAAAAACTCTCAATAAACTAGGTATTGATGGAACGTATCTCAAAATAATAAGAGCTATTTATGACAAACTCACAGCCAATATCATACTGAATGGGCAAAAGCTGGAAGCATTCCCTTTGAAAACCGGCACAACACAAGGATTCCCTCTCTCACCACTCCTATTCAACATAATATTGGAATTTCTGGCCAGGGCAATCAGCCAAGAGAAAGAAATAAAGCATATTCAAATAGGAAAAGACGAAGTCAAATTGTCTCTGTTTGCAGATGACATGATTGTATATTTAGAAATTCCCATTGTCTCAGCCCAAAATCTCCTTAAGCTGATAAGCAACTTCAGCAAAGTCTCAGGATACAAAATCAATGTGCAAAAATCACAAGCATTCCTATACATCAATAATAGACAAACAGAGGGCCAAATTATGAGTGAACTCCCATTCACAATTGCTACGAAGAGAATAAAATACCTAGGAATACAACTTACAAGGGATGTGAAGGACCTCTTCAAGGAGAACTACAAACCAATGCTTAAGGAAATAAGAGAGGACACAAACAAATGGAAAGCCATTACATGATCATGGATAGGAAGAATCAATATCGTGAAAATGGCCATACTGCCCAAAGTAATTTACAGATTCAATGCTATCCCTATCAGGCTACCATTGTCTTTCTTCACAGAATTAGAAAAGAACTACTTTAAATTTCATATGGAACCAAAAAAGAGCCCATATAGCCAAGACAATCCTAAGCAAAAAGAACAAAGCTGGAGGCATCATGCTCCCTGACTGCAAACTATACTACAAGGCTACAGTAACCAAAACAGAATGATACTGGTACTAAAACAGATATATAGACCAGTGGAACAGAACAGATTACTCAGAAATAACACCACACATCTACAACCATCTGATCTTTGACAAACCTGACAAAAATAAGCAATGAGGAAAGAATTCCCTATTTAATAAATGGTGTTGGGAGAACTGGCTAGCCATATGCAGAACTGAAACTGGACCCCTTTGTTACACCTTATACAAAAATTAACTCAAGATGGATCAAAGACTTAAATGTAATACCTGAAACCATAAAAACCCTAGAAGAAAACCTAGGCAATGCCATTCAGGATATAGACATGGGCAAAGACTTAATAACTAAAACACCAAAGCAATAGCAACAAAAGCCAAAATTGACAAATGGGATATAATTAAACTAAAGAGCTTCTGCACAGCAAAAGAAAGTGCCATCAGAGTGAGCCGGCAACCTATAGAATCGGAGAAAATTTTGTAATCTATCCATCTGACAAAGGGCTAACATTCAGAATCTACAAGGAACTTAAACAAATTCATGAGAAAAAAGCAAACGACCCCATCGAAAAGGGGCAAATGATATGAACAGACACTTCTCAAAACAAGACATTTATGCGACAAACAAACATATAAAAAAACTCATAATCACTGGTCATTAGAGAAATGCAAATCAAAGTCACAATGAGATACCATCTCACACCAGTTAGAATGGTGATCTTTAAAAAGTCAGGAAACAACAGATGCTGGAGAGGAGTTAGAGAAATAGGAATGCTTTTATACTGTTGATGGGATTGTAAATTAGTTCCCCCATTGTGGAAGACAGTGTGGCGATTCCTCAAGCATCTAGAAACAGAAATACCATTTGACCCAGAAATCTCATTACTGAGTCTTTTTATTCTTGCAGCAGTGGATACTCTGCCACTACAAGCACTCAGCCAAAGCATTCTCTTTGTCCCCAAGGGCCAGATAATACTATTAAATGTTTATAAAAAAAGAAAATGTTTATAAAAAGGAAAATTTACTCTCCAAACAACCAATCAACAGACAAAATAAATGAAACATTTTTCAGGAGACAAAACATTAGGTAAAGAGAACAGTGATCTCTCATAGACAGAAAAGAAATAAAATGAGCCTTACGATTTCCATGGTTTATTGCCTTGTGAGTTTTTCTAGGCTGCTGTGAATAGAGTGTACCTTAGCCCATTTAGTGTTGCTATAAAGGAATATCTCAGGATATGTAATTTATAAAGAAAATAGGTTTATCTGACTAACAGTTTCAGTGTCTGTAAAAATTAAAGATTGGGCTTCTGCACCTAATGAGGACCACAGGCTGCTTCCACTCATGGTGGAATACAAAGAGGATCCAGCATGTCCAGAAATTACATGGTAAAAGAGGAAGCAAGAGAGAAAAAGGGCGAGGTACCAGGCTCTTTTTAATAACCAGTTTTCATAGGAACTAATAAAGTGAGTACTCACTAATTACCAAGAAGATGGCACCAACCCATTCATGAGGGATCCACCATCATGATTCAAACACCTCCTATTAGGTGCCACCTCCAACACTGGGGATCAAATTTTAAAATGAGGGGGAACTAAGATCCAAACCATAGCAGAGGGGAAACCCAGATGGAATTCAGCAGAACCCCTCAGTAGAGGAGATGAAGCTGAGAGTCTAGGGAGACCAAGGCTGCTAGGGTTTGTAGGACACAGTACAAGAGGGGAGAGAACTTCAAAGAGTGAGGACTTCTCAAACAAGGAAAGAATCTCTATAATTATGCAGCGGAGTACTGATCAGTATATGTATACAAATAAACTACCTGAGGGTAGCATAGCAGAAAAGCAGCAAATATGTTTAGAGGGAAAACTACCTCGTACTCTAACAAAGCAAGGAGTAGTACCTGTTCTCATTAGCCACACTGGAAAGTCTCACAGGGCATTAAATAGAGTTATCAGAAGTGACTTATCTTAGTAGCATGAATAATTATCTCTAGACACACTGATGTGGTTCAGCCTAACCAATCTTAAGAGCAGGATCTTAATCCCATAATGCGGGACTCTCTGACAGCAATGCCATGTATCTCACTCTGCCAGAAAAATTTATTGGGTATCTCTGTGGAACATCCAAAACTTTAAAGGGACAAATTGTAATTGATCATAACCATGAACCTCACAGAAATACAAAATGAACGCATGTCAAATGTTATATTTTAATCATTAATTAATAATGAAACACAGAGAGAAGTCATGTGAAAGTACAAGAAACTGGGGTTTTTATAAATTAGAAGTTGTAAAATAGCTGAATGCAAAACAAAATAAGACAAAAAACCTCCCACAATTTCCATAAAATTAGATAATCCAGCAGAAGTGTGTTCAAGAAAACAGCTTTTTTTTTTCTACTGAAGACACCTGTATCAGTCTGATTTGCAATATAATAAAAGAATACCAGAGTCTGGGTAACACAGAGAAAAGAGGTTCATTTGGCTCATGGTTTTGCAGACTGTACAAAAAGCACTGCATCAGCATCTGATTCTGGTAAGGGCCTCAGGAAGTTTTTACTCATAGCGGAAGACAAAGGGAGCCAGTGTGTCACACAGCAATATAAAGAGCAAGAGAGAGGCAAAGAGGTTCCAGTTTTTTAAAACAACCAGTTCTTTCAGGAATTAATAGAGCAAGAACTCACTCATTACCATGAGGAAGTCACTAAGCCCTTCATAAGGCATGCAACTCCATAACCCAAACACCTTCCACTAAACCCCACTTCTAACCTTGGGGATCACATTTCAACATGAGATTTGGGGGAGAAAAATATCCAGACTATATTAACACCTAATAATCCTTCAGTCTATTTTAAATTCTTTTAAAATTCTTCCCTATAGCCCTTTTATTGGAATATCTACATAAGTATTTGCACAGCACCAAACTATGATTTTTTTGGTCAAACCTAAAACTCAAGTATATTTGTATATCTTTAAAAAACCTTCATTTGGAAACATAAGGAGACATTTACCTTGTTCCATATGTCACATTTTTATTTTTTTAAATTATTTGTTCTCCTGTCCAACCTGAGTACCTTAACATATAAAAGCTTGCCACCTGCCAGATGACAGGGCAATTTCACATTTAGACCCTGTATTAGTCCGTTTTCATGTTGCTGATAAAGACATACCCAAGAATGGGCAATTTACAAAAGAAAGATATTTAATGGACTTACAGTTCCATGCAGCTGGGAAGCCTCACAACCATGGCAGAAGGCAAGAAGCAAGTCACATCTTACATGGATGGCAACAGGCAAAGAAAAAGAGCTTGTGCAGGGAAACTCCCCCTTATGATACCATTAGATCTCATAAGACCCACCCACCACCGTGAGAACACCATGGGAAAGACCTGCCCCTATGATCCAGTTACCTCCCACCAGGTCCCTCCCACAACAGGTGGGAACGGGAATTGAAGATGAGATTTGAGTGGCAACACAGCTAAACCATATCAGTCCTCCTATCCAAAGAATTAATTCAGAATTAAAATATCAAAGGCATCTGTAGGGCATTCTGGTAGCATGAAGATCTAGAAAGAATGTTTGTGAGGTCCCAATAGAAAACTAGCTTCTTTCAGGTCCACCTTTATTAAATAATGCAAACTATATGGCTATTTAAATATTTAGTATTATAAAATTTCCATAGCATTTTGACAAGTTTTAATTTGTGCCTGATATTTGATACATTTACACTTAACAAATGTTTATTGAATTAATTCAAATATATTTATTCAACCTCCTTTATTTGACAAGTATTGTATTATACTATGCTGAAATACTGGAGTGAACATGATAATAGCAACTGAACAAAACCAACTGGTTTGTAAGTAGTCAGTTTTGTGAACTGTACACACACATACACAGAAGTTTTTATATACTGATTGTCTAAGTTTTAAACTACTTACATTGATAATGTCAATTAAAATTCTTTCATGGTTTTTACATTTTATCATTTTGCTTTGAATGAAATTACTTGTGGAGGTAACTAAACATGCAAACTAACTATTCTTCTACTTAAAACATGGCTATGGAATAGTTCAGATTCCTGGTAGAATTCTCAATTTACAAATACTATTGCTCTGGTATTGTATTAGTCCATTCTCATGTTGTTAATAAAGACATACCTGAGATTGGGTAATTTATATAAAAAAAGAGGTTTAATGGACTCACAGTTTCACATGGTTGGGAAGGTCTCATGGCGGAAATGAAGGATAAACAAAGGTATGTCTTACATGGTGGCAGGAAAGTGAGTGTGTGTAGGGGAACTCCCTTTTACAAAATTATCAGATCTCATAAGACTTATATACTATCACGAGAACAGTATGGGAAAAACCCACTTCCATGATTCAATTACCTTTCACCAGGTCCCTCCCATGACAGGTGGAGATTATTATAATTCAAGGTGGGATTTGGGTGGTGACACAGAGCCAAACTATATTATTCTGCCCCTAGCCCCTCCCAAATCCCATGTCCTCATATTTTAAAATTAATCATGTCTTCTCATCTGTCTCCCAAAGTGCTAATTCATTTCAGTATTAATTCAAAATCTATACTTCAAGGTCTCACTTGAGACTAGGCAAGTCTCTTCCATCGATGAGTCTATAAAGTTAAAAGTAAGTTAGTTACTTCCTAGATACAATGAGGGTACAGGCATTGGATAAATATAGCCATTCCAAATGGGAGAATTGGCCAAAGCAAAGAGGTCACAGGCCCGATGTAAGTCTGAAATCTAATAGGGCAGTCGTTAAACCTTAAAGTTTTAAAATGATCTCTTTGATTCCATGTCTCACATCCAGGTCACATTGATATAAGAGCTGTGCTTCCATGGCCTTGGGCAGTTCTGCTCCTGTGGCATTGTAGGGTACAGTCTTCCTCTCAGTTTTTTTTCATGGGCTGGCATTGAGTGTCTGTAGGTTTTATAGGCATATGGCATAAGTTTTTGGTGGGTCTATCATTCTGGTGTCTGGATGACAGTGGCCATCTTCTCACAGTTTCATTAGGCAGTGTTCTAGTGGGGATTCTGTTTGGGGGCTCCAAACCCACATTTCTCTTCCGTACTTTCCTAGTAGAGGTTTTCCGTGAAAGCTTCATCCCTGTAGTAAACTTTTGTCTGAATATCTAGGTGTTAGGTGTTTCTTTATATCCTCTGAAATCTAGGCTGAGGATCCCAAAACTCAATTTTTGACTTCTGTGCACCCACAGGCTTGACACCCTATGGAAGTTGTCAAGGCTTGGGGCTGGTACCATCTGAAGCCATGGCCTGAGCTGTACCTTGGCCCCTTTTAGTCTAGGCTGGAGTGGCTGGGATGTAGAGTATCAAGTCCCTAGGCTGTACACAGCAGGAGGGCCCTGGGCCCAGCCCATGAATTATTTTTTCCTTCTAGGCCTCTGGGGCCTGTGATGGGAGGTGCTGTCTTGAAGGTCTCTGACATATCCTGGAGACACTTTTTCTATTGTCCTTGTGAGTAATATTTGGCTCTTAGTTACTTATGTAAATTTCTGCAGTAGGCTTGAATTTCTCTCCAGAAAATGGGATTTTCTTTTTTTATTGTATCATCAGGCTGTAAATTTTCTAAACTTTTATGTTCTGTTTCCTCTCAAATGTTTTGCTGTTTAAAAATTTCTTCTGTTAGATACCCTAAATCATCTCTCTCAAGTTCAAAGTTCCACAGACCTCTAGGGCAGGGGCACAATGTTGTCAGTCTCTTTGTTAAAGTACAACAAGAGTCACCTTTGTTCTAGTTCCCAATAAGTTATTCATCTTCATCTGAGACCACCTAAGCTTGGACTTTATTGTCCATATCATTATTAGTATTTTGGTCAAAGCCATTCAACATATCTTTAGGAAGTTTTAAACTTTCCCACTATTTTGTCTTCTTTTCAGCCCTCTAAACTCTTTCAACCACTGCCTGTTACCCAAAGTCATTTTTATATTTTTGGGTATCTTTATAGTAGTACCCCACTCCTGGTACCAATTTGCTATATTAGTCCATACTTATGTTGTTGATAAAGACATACCAGAGACTGGGTAATTTGTAAAGAAAAAGAGGTTTAGTGGACTCACAGTTTCACATAGTTGGGGAGGCCTCATAATCATGGTGGAAAGTGAAGGATGAGCAAAGCCATGTCTTACATGGCAGCAGGCAAGAGTGCATATGTAGGAGAACCCTCCTTTATAAAACCATCAGATCTTGTTAGACTTATTCACTATCACGAAAATGGTATGAGAAAAACCTGCCTTCATGATTCAATTACCTCCCGCTGGGTCCCCTCCATGACACATGGGGATTATTATACTTCAAGGTGAGATTTGGGTGGGGACACAGAGCCAAACAATATCAAGTGTCAAGCAGTGAAGGTCCAGAATTCTTGCGCTGTGCAGATGATAGACCTGTATTATTCTGTATGCAGTCTCAACATCTCTGATGCATACCCCTCACTCATTTGTTGAATAGATTGAAAATAGACTAGTTGAGCTCTGCAGCCAGTGATACAAACCTGCCTTCCACCTTTAATCACATTCAACTTCATTTAGATTACAACAGGAAAAAGATGATTTGTTTCTTTGTATATAAGATTTAAAATGTGAGCATTGGTTCCATACTATCAAATCTTGGTGCTCATCATAGAAGAACACCCTAGAATTCTCTCAAAATAAATTACTTTTTCTCAGTGCTTCAAATAATAGATTTCGTTTATACTGTGTTGGTTAACTAAAAAAAAATGTCTAAAAGTCACTCATTTAATTTATGCCATATTACAATTAATAACATTTAATGCTCAGGAAATGTAACCTAAAGTTTTAAAATTAACTCATTAATAATTAAATTCTAAAAATTGCTAGTATCTCAATTTACCTATGTGCCTCAAACAAAGAGGAAAGAAAAGGGATCTTAATTGAAAACAGATCCCTGGCTTTGCTGCTGAGGGTACGGACAAAAGCAGAATATTCTGGGACTTAGTTGTAATTTTCACTAGTCAAAAAATGTAACAAAATCTATTTCTGAACCTCATTATGGCAAGCACTCTTTGGGCTATTGACAGCTTTATAATTCCCACACTTGAATTAGAAAATGGTTTAAAGGCAGAAATAAAGTTGGTTTTAATTTTAATACAGTGTTTTTTCTATGCTAAGAAAGATACATGGATTTGATTTATTTTTTATGAGAATTCTGAAACCTATAAATTATACCACAGAGAGGGAAGGGTAATTTGCTTATTCAGGAATCATAAGAGCGAACCAAACGAACCAAAATAAAGTAAGGGAAGATTTTATCAAAAACCGACTCCAAGCTATCTTATTGACATGTAACAAGAGAAAATTAGCAAGAGAAAACGAGAAGATTAATGTATGGAGTTAGGTTTTTCATACACAAAATTGGCATGGATATGGCAAAAAGGGAACACATCTACGCTACTGATGAGAATGTAAACTAGTACAACCACTATGGAAAACAGTGTGTAGATTCCTGAAAGAACTAAAATTAGATATACTGTTTGATCCAGCAATCCTACTCCTGGGATTTCTCAGACTTGGTTAATACTAAGACACATGACCAACTGAATACAAATAAACAGGCTCCATTCAATGCTTAAATATTAAGATAACTTTCTAACTTTGCAGATTATTAAAATTAATCTGAGCACTTTGATCTCTATAACATGAATATACAAGTTCCAAAAGTGAGTAAAGAAGTCAAGGATTGAGTAAAGTTTGTTTGTGAAAGACTTGAAGTCTGATTGTCTTGGCACTTGTCTGTGTCACTGAAGGTTCCCGGTTAATTGCTCCATGTATTTTATATAATATCAAAGCAAAATAATAGTTTTTCTATGGCATCTTGTTTTACCTGTATGGCAGCTACCTTCCTTAGAGTTATTATATCATGGAATAGTATCCTAACATCTTCTTTTCATGTAGCTGAAAAAGTTGTTCATGCATGAATATTTTTAACAATCTCTGAACTAGCAAAAATAAAATGGAAACCTGACCGGTAAACAAACAACTGTTGCTTATGCCTATGGTTTGCATTTTCTCAAAAACTCCAACTTATTTAGTTCTCGTCAGATTTTTCCATCGATTTCCAATTCTCTCTAAATCTGTGGGAATCCCATATCTCTATTACCACATCACCATCTGAGTAATGCCCCAGAGTAAAAGTACAGCCTTTTTAAAAAAGTTTTTTATTTCTGTAGGTTTTTGGGAAACAGGCAGTATTTGGTTACATGAGTAAGTTCTTTAGTGGTGATTTGTGTGATTTTGATGTACCCATCACCTGAGCAGTATAAACTAAATCCAATTTGTAGTCTTTTCTCCCTCATTGCCCTCCCTTCCTTTCCCCCATTCTCCAAAGTCTATTGTGTCATTCTTATGCCTTTGCATCCTCATAGCTTAGCTCCCACTTATGAAGGAGCACATGCGATGTTTGGTTTTCCATTCCTGAGTTACTTCACTTAGAATAATAGTCTCCAGTTTAATCCAGGTTGCTGCAAATGCCATTCATTCATTCCTTTTTATGGCTGAGTAGTATTCCATTATGTATATATCATATATATATATCTTGTATATATCATATATATATCTTATATATATCATATATATATTATATATAATATATATCTTATATATATCATATATATCTTATATATAATATATATCTTATATATATCATATATATCTTATATATAGCATATATATCTTATAGATATATCATAGATATATATATCATATATATCTTATAGATATATCATAGATATATCTTATATATATCATATATATCATATATATCATATATATCTTATATATATCATATATATCTTATATATCATATATATCTTATATATATCATATATATCATATATATCATATATATCATATATATGATATATATCATATATATATCTTATATATCATATATATATCATATATATCTTATATATATCATATATATCTTATATATATCATATATATATCTTATATATATCATATATATTTTTCTTATATATATATATTCTTTATCCACTCATTGATTGATGGGCATTTGGGCTGGTTCCATATTTTTGCAATTGCGAATTGTGCTGCTATAAACATGCATGTGCAAGCATCTTTTTTGTATAATGACTTCTTTTCCTCTGGGTAGATATCCAGTAGCAGGATTGCTGAATCAAACAGTAGATCTACTTTTAGTTTTTTCTGGAATCTACACACCATTTTCCATAGTAGTTAACTAGTTTACATTCTCACCAGCAGTGTAGATGTGTTATCTATTCACCATATCCATGCCAACATCTATTTTTATTACTTTTACTTTTTTGATTCTGGCCATTCTTGCAAGAGTAATGTGGTATTGCACTGTGATTTTGATTTGCATTTCCCTGATCATTAGTGATGTTGTTGTCTATTCATGTCCTTAGCCCGCTTTTTGATGGGATTTTTTTTCTTGCTAATCTGTTTGAGTTCCTAGTAGATTCTGGTTATTAGTCCTTTGTCAGATGTATAGATTGTGAATATTTCCTCCCATGCTGTGGGTTGTCTGTTTACTCTCCTGAGTTTTCCTTTTGTTGTGTGGAAGCTCTTTAGTTTAATTAAGTCCCAGCAATTTATCATTTTTTTTTGTCATTTGCTTTTGGTTCTTGGTCATAAAGTCTTTGCCTAAGCCAATGTCTGGAAGGGTTTTTCCAATGTTATCTTCTAGAATTTTTATACTTTCAGGCCTTAGATTTAAGTCCCTGATCCATCTTGAGTTGATTTTCATATATGGTGAGAGATTAGAATCTAGTTTTATTCTCCTACATGTGGCTTGCCAATTATCCCAGCACCATTTGTTGAATAGGGTGTCCTTTCCCCACTTTATGCTTTTGTTTGCTTTGTCAAAATCAGTTGGCCATAAGTATTTGGGTTTATTTCTGGGTTCTCTATTCTGTTTCTTTGATCTATATGCCCATTTTTATACAAGTACCATGCTGTTTTGGTGACTATGGCCCTATAGTATAGCTTGAAATCAGGTAATGTGATGCCTCCAGATTTGTTCTTTTTTCTTAGTCTGGATTTTCCTATGCAGGCTCTTTTTTGGTTCCATGTGAGTTTTAGGATTGTTTTTCCTAGTTATGTGAAGAATGATGGTGGTATTTTGATAGGAATTGTATTGAATTTGTAGATTGCTTTTGGCAGTACGGTCATTTTCACAATACCGATTCTACCAATTCATGAGCATGGAATGTGTTTCCTTTTGTTTGTGTCATCTATAATTTCTGTCAACAGTGTTTTGTAGTATTCCTTGTAGAGGTCTTTCACCTCCTTGGTTAGGTATATTCCTATGTATTTTTTTAACCTATTGTAAAATGGGTTGAGATATTGATTTGATTCTCAGCTTGGTCACTGTTGGTGTATAGCAGAGCTACTAATTTTTGTACATTAATTTTGTACCCAGAAACATTGCTGAATTCATTAATCAGTTCTAGGAGCTTTTTGGAGGAGTCTTTAAGGTTTTCTAGGTATACAGTCATATCATCAGCAAACAGCTACAGTTTGATTTCCTCTTTACTAATTTGGATGCCCTTTATTTCTGTCTCTTGACTGATTGCTTTGGCTAGGACCTCTGATACTATGTTGAATAAAAGTGGTCAGAGTGAGCATCCTTGTCTTGTTCTGGTTCTCAGAGGGAATGATTTCAACTTCTCCCCATTCAGTATTATGTTGGCTGTGGGTTTGTCATAGATAGCTTTAATTGCATTGAAGTATGTCCATTTATGCCAATTTTGTTGATGGTTTTAATTATAAAAGGATGCTGGATTTTGTTAAATGCTTTTTCTGTATCAATTGAGATAATCATGTGATTTCTGTTTTTAATTCTGTTTTGGGGTGTATAACATTTATTGACTTGCAAATGTTAAACTATTCCTGCATCCCTGCTATGAAACCCTCTTAATCATGGACTATCTTTTTGATATGTTGTTAGATTTGGTTAACTAGTATTTTGTTAAGGATTATTGCATCTGTGTTTATCAGGGATATTTGTGTGTAGGGTTTTTTTTTTTAATGTTATTTCCTTGTTTTGTTTTTAGCGTGATAGTGGCTTCATAGAGTAATTTACAGAGGATTCACCCTCTCTATATATTTTGAAATAGTGTCAATAGGATTGGTATCAATTCTTCTTTCAATGTCTCATAGAATTTAGCTGTGAATCTGTCTGGTCCTTCACATTTTTTGTTGTTGGTCATTTTTTATTACCATTTCAATCTCGTTCCTTATTCTTGATCTGTTCAGGGTTTGTAATTCTTCCTGGTTTAAGCTAGGAAGGTTGTATTTTTCCAGGAATTTATTCATCTCCTCTAGGTTTTCTAGTTTTTGAATGTAAAAGTGCTTATAGTAGCCTTGAATGATCTTTTGTATTTCTGTGGTGTCACTTGTAATATCTCTTGTTTTGTTTCTACTTGAGTTTATTTGGATCTTCTCTCTTTTCTTGGTTAATCTTTCTAATAGTCTATGAACTTTATTTCTTTTCAAAAAACCAGCTTTTTGTTTCATTTATCTTTTGTATTTTTTGTTTCATTTCACTTAGTTCTGCTCTCATCTTTGTTATTTGTTTTCTTCTGCTGGATTTTGGTTTGGTTTGATTTGTTTTTTCTCTAGTTCCTTAAGGTGTGACCTTAGATTGACTATTTTTGCTCTTTCAGACTGTTTAATGTAGGCATTTAAGGATATAAACTTTCCTCTTATGACTGCCTTTGCTGTACCCCAGAAGTTTTGATAGGTTGTGTCAAAATTATCATTTAGTTCAAAGAATTTTTTTAATTTCCATATGGACTTCATTGTTGATCCAATGATCACTCAGGGGCAGGTTATTTAATTTCCATGTATTTGCGTGGTTTTGAAGGTTCCTTTTGGAGTTTATTTCCAATTTTATTCCACTGTGGTCTGAGAAAGTACTTGATATAATTTCCGTTTTCTTAAATTTATTGAGACTTGTTTTGTGGCCTATCATATGGTCTATTTTGGAGAAAGTTCCATGCGCTGAAGAATAGAATGTATATTCTGTGGTTGTTGGGTAGAATGTTTTGTAAATATCTCTTAAGTCCATTTGTTCTAGGGTATAGCTTAAATCCATTGTGTCTTTGTTGACTTCAACCAGCACAAACCTAGTGCATTAAACAACTACAACTAAGGACCCTCACTGAGTCCATTTCACTCCCCTGCCACCTCCACCAGAGCAGGTGCTGGTATCCATGGTTGAGAGACCTGAAGACAGCTCACATCACGGGGCTCTCTGAAGACATCCCCCAATACCAGCCTGGAGCCTTATAGCCCTGCTGGGTGGCTAAATCCAGAAGAGAAATAACAATCACTACAGTTCAGCTATTCAGGAAGCCACATCACTAGGAAAAATATTAGATCAAGGGACGACCCCGTGGAACAAAATAATCTGAAAAGCAGCCTTGAGCCCCAGATTTTCCCTCTGACGTAGCCTACCCAAATGAGAAGGAACCAGAAAAACAATTCTGGTCATATGATAAAACAAAATTTTGTAACACCCCTAAGAAATCACACTAGCTCACCAGCAAAGGATCCAAACCAAGAAGAAATCCCTGAATTCCCTGAAAAAGAATTCAGAAGGTCAATTATTAAGCTAATCAAGGAAGCACCAGAAAAAGGTGAAGTCCAACTTAAAGAAATAAAAAAAAATGATAAAAGATATGAGGGGAGAAATATTCAGTGAAATAGATGGCATAAATTAAAAAAATCACAACTTTAGAAACTAAAGGACACACTCAGAGAAGTGCACAATGTATTGGAGAGTCTCATCAACAGAATCAAGCAGAAGAAAGAACTTCAGAGCTCAAAGGCAAGGGTTTTGAATTAATGCAGTCCAAGAAAAACAAAGAAAAAATAATTTTAAAAAGGATAAAATCCTCCTAGAAGTTTGGGATTATGTAAAATGACAAAACCTAAGAATAATTGGTGTTCCTGAGGAAGAAAAGAAATCTAAAAGTCTGAAAAATATATTTGGGAGAACAATTGAGGAAAACTTCCCCACCCTTGCTAGAGACCTTGTCATCCAAATACAAGAAGCTCAAAGAACACTTGGGAAATTCATTACAAAAAGATCATCACGTGGGTACACTGTCATCAGGTTATCTAAAGTCACGACAAAGGAAAGACTCTTAAGAGCTGTGAGGCAAAAGCACCAGGTACCCTATAAAGGAAAACCTATCAGATTAACAGCAGATTTCTCAGCAGAAACCCTACAAGCTAGAAGGGATTGGGGCCATATTTTCAGCCTCCTTAAACAAAACAATTATGTGCTGGGAATTTTTTATCCAGTTAAACTAATCTTCATAAATGAAGGAAATGTACAGTGTTTTTCAGACAAACAAATGCTGAGAGAATTTGTCACTACCAAGCCAGCACTAAGATAACTGCTAAAAGGAGCTCTAAATCTTGAAACAAATCCTGGAAGCATATTGAAACAGAACATCTTTATAGCATAAATCTCTCAGGACCTGTAAAACAAAAATACAACCATCCCCCTGCAAAAACAAACAAATAAACCAAACCAAACCAAAACAAAAACAAAACAGGCATTCAGGCAACAAATAGCACAATGAATGAAATAGTACCTCACATCTAAATACTAACATTGACTTTAAATGGTTTAAATGCTCCACTTAAAAAGTACAGAATTGCACAATGGATAAGAATTTACCAACCAAGTATCTGCTGCCTTCAAGGGACTCACCTAACACATAAGGACTCACATAAACTTAGGTGTAGGGATGGAGAAAGACATTCCATGCAAATGGACACCAAAAGCAAGCAGGAGTAGCTATTCTTATATCAGACAAAACAAACTTTAAAGCAACAGCAGTTAAAAAAGACAGAGGGACATTATATAATGATGAAAGCCTTGTTCAACAGGAGAGTATCAGAATCCTAAATATATATGCACCTAACACTGGAGCTCCCAAATTTATAAAAACAATTACTACTAGACCTAGGAAATGAGATAGACAGCAACACAATAATAGTGGAGGACTTCAAATATTACCTTTTAAAGGCTACTGTTCAAACAGCCTATTACTTGTATTACTTGCAATTATCCTGGGTTTTGATACAAAGTGAGACATTGGAGGAAGCAAGCTTTTCTTACTAGTGTGAACTAATTTATCATATTTGCTAATTGTCATCTTGATGCCCAGGAAGATATAGATATCCCACTCCCCATAGATGTAGAGAAAGCTGTTGGTTGTCCAACCAAATATCTTTCCCCCTTCTTTCATAGCAATAGAGTTAATCTTGCTGTGCAAGTAAAGGCTACATCACACAGATTTCCTTGTAACTAGGTGTGGCCCTATAACTGAGTTATCAGCAATACAATGTGTACAAAGTGGTAAGCACAACATTGACCTTATTTTTTGAAAGAATATTATTTGTTCCAGGCTTTTTTTCTCATAAACTAGAACACAGATATGCTCATAACCTAGCCTTGACTACACAGACTAGTGTAATGCCTTAGAGAATGGTGCTGCAAAAAAGGGAAATGAACATAGATCTTTTAATGACCATATGAGTAGAACCATTTAGTTAATTTAAACTGCTTACTTCATGAACTGTATGTAAGGGTGACCCAAATGTCTATTACCTTTAAAGCGCTGTCTTTTTGGATTCTTTGTTATATCAGTTTAGTCTTTACCCTAAATACACCAGAGGATAGTGACCAATTTGGTAAATTAGATTAATGAAGGAAGGCAGGCATTAATAGTCACAAGCCTATTGTCTTTCCCTTGCCCTGCCAATGAAGACCCATAGGGAATTTTCTATTTATAGAATCATCTATTCCCCCTTCAATATTCATTTCACTTTCTTAGGATATCTGGAGCAGCCCTGCTTAAAAAATAGAGAGAGTGGAAAGTAGTGGAAAGTTGGAGCTCTTGGCAATGTGTATGGGGTAGAAAAAAGAAATCATGCCTTGCTTATTATTTTTAAATTGTGTGACAGTTTGGCTAGCTAGCAAATTAAGGAGATAACATACATTTGAACCATTTTGCTGATTCATCACATTGGAAAGGTATTAATTATCACATTTTCCAATAGTACTACATATTCTCTCTCATCTAATTCAAAATGATTTATTTTTATTTGTGGAAACAACTATTTTTCCTATTTGAGGAATTTATAGTATCTAGTATATTAATTTCTATGAGAGAGGTTTCATTAAACATTAAACAGTAACTGTCTGTTTATCCTGTTCTTTAAATATTGAAGTGAAATAACAGAGCAGATGGATATATGCCTGGCCCACAGTCAAAGGCAAGTTGTAGATTTGAGATCGTATACAATTCTCTCTGGGCCCATAGTCTTTCCTCTAGAATACACTTCAAAGTTACTGGAATATGATGGAGAAAATGTTTTTCTTTCTATTTTCTGTACTAGCAAATTACTGTTCCCATTATTAGAAAATGATTAGCAGTTTACTTTGTTTTCTCATTTAATTAAATAATAAATAGCAGACATACTATGACCCACAATATTGTAGGGAAACCAAGCAGCTGTCACTGTAATATTCCTTTGCATGCTGAAATGTAACTTCCCTACCCCTTAAATATTTCCAGAAACAAAGACACTCTTAAATTACCAGATAGTAGAAGACCTCGATTAATAAAAACATGGATTATTTTGATGAGCTGAACAGATGAGATAAAGTACCTTTGAAACTTTACCATTTTTATAGGCTTTAAGTTCTTTTAAAAATGCTTCGTGTTTCGAAGTTTTTTTTTCTTCTAATTCATCACAGTGAAATGTATTAAATTATCTTGAAATTGGTTGGTTTGAAGCCCACTTTGTTACCATATTTCTTGGAATGGAGAGAAATAAACATATCAATTTTTCCCTGCTGCTTGATTAATTGAAGGTCTGAACCCAGCAGGGACAGTTAGCTACGAATGACACAATTATGATGCATGACTTATCTCAAAGAACTTATTTTCCCTGAAATGTCAAAATATCTCAAGAGGATACAAGTTTTCCAACTTTAAGGTGAAACCTGCCTATCACAACATTTCTTTCCCTTCAAGTCAAAAGTGTATGTGCAACTACTACTGATTTGTTTACTAGCTTGAAGCGGGAAGATCAAATGGGAAAGACAATATCATCCATTCTAAAGCTTGCATTTTTATTATTTTATTTTTCAAAATAAATTTTATTGTGTATATTTGAGGCTTACAACATGATGTTGTGGGATATATATATATATAGATACTTAAATACATATACATAGTACAATTGTTGCCATAGTGAAGCAGATAAACATATCTATCATCTCGCATAGTTACTTTTTTGTGACATGGGCAGCTAAAATCTTATTTAACAAAAATCCCTAATACAATACAATTTTGTTAGCTTTAATCCTCTTGTTGTACATTAGGTTTCCAAATTTGTTCATCCTAGATATCTACTATTTTGTATCTTTTAACTTACATATCTCCATTTTCTCTACCCCATCAACCTGTGGTAATCACTTTTTCATTCTCTATCTCTGTGCATTTGAGCTATTTATTCCATATACATGTTTGCCATTTGTATATCTTTATTTTGGAAATGTTTAAATATTTTGTGCATTTTAAAATAGAGTTACTTAGTTTTTTAATTTTAATTTAATTTTATTTTTTTTTGCTATTGAGTTGTTTCCGTTCCTTATGTATTTTAGATATTAACCCTTTCTTAGGTTTATGGTTGAAACTCTTTTTTCACAATCCATAGCTTGTCTCTTCACTCTGTTAATAATTTTCTTTGTTCTGAAGAACGTTTTTAGTTTGATGTAATCCCATTTGTTTATTTTTATTTTTATTTCCCTTGTCTTGGGAATTATATATGTGTGTGTATATATATATTTAAAGCTGGCTCATGCCTGTAATCCCAGTGCTTTGGGAGGTCAAGGCAGGAAGATCGCTTGAGCCCAGGAGTTCGAGATCAGTCTGGGCAACATAGCAAGCCTTTGTTCCTATGAAAAATTTAAAAATTAGCTGAATATGGTGGTGTGTGCCTGTAGTCCCCTCTAGTCAGAAGGCTAATATGGGAAGATCAATTGAGCCCAGGAGGTGGAAGATGCTGTGAGTCAAGATTGAGATCACATCACTTCATTCCAGCCTGGAAAACAGAATAAGACCCTGTCTCAAAAAATAAAATACAATATAGTGTAACTGACCAGACCAATGTCATGGAGCTATTCCACAATATTTTATTCTAATGTTTTTACAGTTCCAGGTCTTTTGTTTAAGTATTTTATTCACTTTGAGTTGACTTTTATATAGGATGTAAGATAAATAACTAATTTCCTTTTTCTGCATATGAATATCCAGTTTTCCCAACAGCATTTATTGAAAAGACTCTTCATTATTTATTCTTGGCATCTTTGTCAAAAACCTATTCATTATAAAGGCATGGGTTTATTTCTGGATTCTGTTCTACTGGGCTACGTATTCATTTATAAGTCAGTATTATATTCTTGATTACTACAACATTTTAGTAGATTTAGAGATATGATAGTATCTCTATTTAGAGATATGATAGTATCTCTAAATACTGTCATAGTACGATGCCTTTAGTTTAGTGTTTTGTTCTTTTTTTTCTACTGAAGATTGTTTTGGCCATTTGGGGTCTTTGGTAGCTCCATTCAAAGTTTTGGATTATTCTTCTATTAGAATATTAGGATTGTTTTTTATTACTGTGGAAAATGTCATTGAAATTTTGATAGAGATTGCTTTGAATTTTTAGATTACTTGGATAGTATGAAAATTTTAGCAATATTATTTCCAATTCATGAAACAAATATATCTTTTCTTTTTCTTGTATTTTTTAAAATTTTTTAATCAGTGTTTTATCATTTGCAAAGAATACAGATGGCCAAAAGTTAAGACTTAGTTAACTAGAAATTAGAAGAGGGACATTTGGTACAAGCACATCTCAGGGACAAGTGAACTTTGGAACTTGACAGAAAGCAATGCATATCATTAAAGCTTTCACCTCAACTCTCTTTTTATTATAATACATGCATTAGAAAAAAAAACTGTTTCAATTGTATGTCCCTTGTTTCCTCTAAATCAAACCTTGTATAATGTTTCAAAATATACCAATTTTATTGGGTGGAATCCTGCTTTTTAAAATAAAATACGCTTTATAGAGGCAGATAGAAAAATATTTTCTCAGAAATTTAAACTTATGAAATCATGTATTTGTGATGACTATACATTTCATGTTCCTGAAACAACAACTTTCACCTGTATTTATCAATACTAAAAACAACAGAGTAAAAGAAAACCTGAGAAAGGAATATTTTGAGAAGGCAAAGTAAAGTTTGCTGGTCTCTAACAGATCTTTTGTGGCTAAGGAAAACTTATGGGAGGCACTTTGGAATGAAAGAAATCCCATTCCATGGGTTTGAATGATCTCTGCTGCTTTCTCATGCGCAGTAAATGAACATACCCACTGGTGTGGAACCTAATGAGCTTGTTAGTAGGCCCATATCCTTTATTTGGGAAGGAATACATGACACTGCCCCAGATGTCCAGGGCCAAAAATAATTCAAATTGAAATTAGTGATAAAGCCATGTATATCAGACTTTCTCTCATTTTTACTTCCATTTTCTTTAGTTTATTCATTGTGTTAAGTAGAAATGCCCAGCAGACATTGTGGCAGTTAGCTACATAAATGAAAAGAACACAGTTCCTGCTCTTGGAGTTCAGTCTAGTATTGGAGAGCTCACTTAAACGCATAAATGCACAGTGTAATGAGCACTCTAATTGATGTCTAAACAAAAATACACAGGAACAAAAAAAAGACAGAGTGATTAGCTTCATGGGAAAGTGGAGGAAGAGTGGCACAGGAAGGATAATCTCCAGAGCATTGCAATGTGTGTGTGTGTGTGCGTGTGTGTGTGTGTGTGTGTGTGTGTTTGTGCATCCTCTCTTCCTACACCTTGCTTACCATCATGTGAGAATTTTTAAATATTAGCATCTCTGATTCTTTTACAGGCTGGCAACTGGAGAGTATGCTTCTATCTGCACTCCCTTAGCTTTACATCTAGGAAAGAATGATTCCTAAAGTGTTTGCCAGTATTTGCCAGGAAGAAAACTACTCAATTATCATGTTCTATAACAAAAGAATATTTTATTCCGGTAACCCTGAGATTATGAATGATCTGTCTCATCCTTAAGTGTGACATTTTGCCCTTAGGCCCTACACTCTGTCAGGGTTATATATTCTTTCTTTATTCACATAACAGTTAATGGAAATTTTATTCAGTATAGAAATTTGCAACTGAGCTATTATTTCAGATTAAGAATTTCCATTTAAGTAAATGCAGCAATGTAGGTTGCCAAAGGCAGAGGGACAATGATTCTTGTTCAGGTACTATTTTCTTGTATTTACCTGGCCAGCCAAATCTAGAGTCCAGATGTTGTTTGGATTTATCTGGTTTCAATTCTTTCCTCAACCACTTCTGAAAGAGTTCTTTTAAATCAACGATTAGTTTAAAGGAAGCAAAACCTTTCTGAAAAATGTTTTAACCATATATAGCTCTACAATGGAATCTGCAATTCCGAAAACCACTGAAGAGTCAACTTTTTGTTTAGGCTGATGCCAAAATTTATTTTGTGGCAAAACATGATCTGAACTGACTTATGACCATTTCTTGTCTTTGTTTGTTCACCGGACATAAATATCTATACATATTGTGACAGAAATATTAATCTATTTGATTGTAGAGTACTGCTTCAGATGGGGATGAGATTGTTAATATATGCAACGTATACATTATAACATTTAAAAAGTCTGAATTATCTTGAATCCTGAAACACATCTATATGTAAGAAATTGAAAACATATAATGACATTTGTATGTCTAATGTGACTCCTAATGTTTAATTCAAAAGTATAAATTTGTATAAAATCATTAAAAATACTTATGTGTCTGGAAAACTTGTACTAATCTTTCACAATTCACCTTAAATGTAACTTTTTCTGGGAAGCCTTCTCACTCTCTCATAGCTAGTAGTTCCTGTGTCTGTGCTTCCTCAATACTTGATTTATATGTCTAATATACTTATTATATAAATATTATTTCTTTCATGCTATCTCTACAATTAGGCTATGAATTCTTCAAGGGTACTCTTCTTCTCCTATTGTTGTCTAGTGTCTGGTAGACTGCTTGTAAAATGTACCAGATACTTAGGAAATTTTAAGTATCTCTGTGCTAGATGCAACAATAAAGTTAAAAGTCAAAAACTTAGTATTTTCCCAGAAAATTCTTTGATACTAACCAATCATTTTATTCATTCATTTGTTATTGTAGAGCTATGTATATAGAAAGCTGATATCTCCCATCGGAAAAATAAAATGAAGCCTAAATTTATTCCTTGCTATTAAGGATCTGACAGTGTCATTGACTGGCAATAAATTCACATCCAAACTTAATAAAAGTTTATATTATTCTGTTTAAGGTCTAAAAGAGTGCACAGACATGAAATGCTAAAAGAGTTTTCAAAAGATATAGAATTACAGTATAGAGCTTCGATAACCTACATGGGCCCAAAATTATATAAAGACCTTAGTGGAAGATGGAATATACAGAAAATCAGCAAGGCTAAGGCACCTAACTGGATGTGAGACCAAGCTTCAAATAAGAAAAAATGAAAAGCAAAAAAGAACGGCAAGATCAAGCATATTAATCAAAGAGTTGTGGTAAACTCAGAATTCGCCTTGGTGTACACTCAGGAAATTCAATATGGTGGGTTACTCATAGTGAAGTTGTGGTCTATTGACCTATATGTATCAAAATCATCAGTGAAGGTTATTTAAAATGCAGATTCCTGGGCTTTATTCCAGACTTTTTGAATTAGAATCCCCGAGTAATTAGAATTTTCTTGTAGTTTTTCGATTTTGTTTGTTTGTATATTAAGTATCTATGATTGCTTAACAAGTTACTACAAATTAAGGGACTTCAAACAATATGCATTTAGCATTTTACATTTTCTGTAGGTCAGAAGTCTGGGCATGGCATGGTTGGAAGATGATAGATGGGGCTGCTATCTCATCTGAGGTTCGGGGGCCTCTTCTAAACTCATTCAGGTTGTGGTCAGAATTTAGTTTCTTACAGTCCTAAGACTGAGGCTCTTGTTTTCTTGCTAGTTGTTGAGCAAGGGCCACTTTCAGCTCCTAGGTGCTGCTCTCAGTCCTTGCTATGGGGACCCTTGCATCTTCAAGCCAGCAACAGCACGTTGGATTTTTCTCAAGTTTTGAATTTCTGGATTGCTTTTCTCTGACCAGCAAGGTAAAACTTTTTGCTTTTAAACATTTCATTTCATTAGGTCAAGCCCACCAGATATTCTTTACATTTTAAAGTCAACTGATTTGCGACTTTAATTATATCTTCAAGATCTCTTCACGATAGTAACTATATTAGTGTTTACTTTGAATAACAAAAGACTAGGAATCTTGTGGAGGGCATCTTAGAACACTGGATAAGGCAGATCATTTTTAAAGTAATTCATACATAAAACAAATCATTCAAAAATCATAAAAGGAATAGTAAATCTCTTTCCCATTCTTGATTCTGAGTCTCCCAGCTCTCTCTCTGCCACAAGCAACAATTGCTGTCAGTTTATTCTGAATCATTTCAGATTTCATCTTAGAAAAATAGTATTTTTTTCTTCTTTTTTCTATCCTCACAGAAGTATACTATACACACTATTTCATACTTTACTTTTATCACTTGACAGGGTGCCTTGAATCTCTTTAAATATCAGTACACCTAGATTCATTAGTTTGTTCTTTATATTGGTTGTGTCTGCACTTTGTATGAAACGTTCTTTCTCCCAGATTCCCTCCACGTAACTCCCCATGGCTTGAGTTCTCACTTTATTTAGTTTACTGTGCAATTTTCCCTTTTCTGAGATCTTCCATCTGTTCATCCAATATTAAGTAGCCACATGTTCATCATAGCACCTGTTTAATTTTCCTCAACTTTTGCCTATCTGAAATAATCTTGTGTATCTGTTTACTTGTCTGTTTTCTCACCATCCAAATAGAAGGCAACCTTCATGAAAACAGGTACTCCATCTATCTTGTTCACTGTTTTGTCTTTAGTTTCTGAAATAGTGCTTAGTGCATAGCAGATGTGCTTTAAATATTTGTTAAGTATGTTATTCCATTATATGGATGCCATATATTATTTAATTAATATTATGTTTGTTTTCTGTTATAGACAATACTGCAATGAAAATCAGTGGTCATATATCCTGTGCCCATTTGTGAATATAGCTGTAAGATATATTTTGAAAAGTGTAATTACTAGGTCAAATCATATGCATTTAATATTTTGATAAGTCTTCCCAAATTGTGCACCATAAAGTTTTTATTAATGTTGACAGGCAATAAAAATGCATAAGAAATATATTTCTTTCAAATATTGCCTAACAAAATTTATCATTATACCTCCAAAAGTTTATTTTCATTTTTAAAATTATGAGTGATAATGAACATACTTTTACGTTTATAGCAATTTTTTAGTTTGTAGTTATTGCTACTAACTGCTTATTTATGCCTTTTCCTGTTTTCTTTTTAAGTTTTATGTTTCTATCTTATTGATCTTTTGAAAGTCTTTCAATGTTTACTACTCAAAAAAGTGTTATTTTTAAATGTTGTTTATTGACTCTGTGCTTGTACCTTTAACACTGTCAATGGAAAAGAATTAAACTCTCTAAAATATTTTTAAAAGGTTATTCTTAGCTAATACGGGTGAATGCAGCCAAGGAAAACACAATCTCAAGAAATACTGATAAAGTGTTCCCGAGGTAGTCAGACTGCAAGTCTATTTTAGGGAAGCAGAGTTACAGGCAAAGTCAAAAGTCAATACACGGTGATTATACATTGGTTTGGCCAAAAAGGAAGGATACCTTAAAGTGGGGATTTACAGGTCATAGGTGGGTTCCGAGATTTTTTAATTTGCAATTGTTTAAAGGAAAAAAGCTTTGTCTAAAAACATGGAGTAAGCAGAAAGGAATGCTTAAGTTAAGATAAGGAAGCCTGTTAATTACCATGTGATGCTATGCGGGAGTCAGGTTGTGAGAGCAAGCCAAAAGTTTCTGAGTCAAAGTGACCTGTTTAGCATGATTGATGGTCTGCAGACATGATTCTCTCCAAGCCCCTTAGAAAGAAATTTTGAGAAAAGGTCAGAATTTAGTCTTCAACACTTACCATGATTGCCTGCTCCTTGATTTAAAAAAAAAAAAAAAAAAGCATGTTTAATCCTGTCACAAACACATTTACCATGCATAGAACCACCATAGGCCCTGCTGACGTTTTTGTTTGTTTATTTTAGACAACATCATAAGAATTTTAGGACTCACAGATTGAACCCTTCAAAGTCAGCCTGGGCACATGCCACAGGCAGATTTTGGTGCTTTCTCAACCTTCCTGTATAAAAATAAAAAATTCTATTACCATTGGTCTAGGAAAGCCTAGTTTTGTTAGAGGCTCTATTTATTGTAGGAAGGTCTGTGATGGTCTATCAAGTGCTGGACCATTCTGAAAGCCTCTAGACAGCATCCCCAGAAGAGGCCATCTTATTGATTTCTAGGAGTTATTTATATATTTTAAAAATCAACTTTTTGACTGTCATATGTGTTGCAAATATTTTTCCCATTTTGACATTTATGTTTTGACTTGGTTTATGATATGGTTTGTATGTATTACTTTATTTTTATTTTTACGTAGTCAACTACAATGTATTGTTTAATGTCTTCTGGGTTTCTATTTTGTATTTAGCTGAGGCAATTCTTTTCCACCTCTAGAATTTCTAAGAAAACCTATCCTATGCTTTCTCCTAGCACTGAAACTATTTATTTTAAGATGTATCTTTGACTTATTTAAGGAATTATGTGTTAAATAATACATCTCTCTTTTATCTGAAAAGTCAACTTATCAGCTTTAATTTCTGGATGTATTTGGATAAATAGCTGGTCTCTCTTTCATAATCTATTGGTCTATCTATTAATGTGTCTATTCCAATATATTCTAATACCTTAGCTTTATTAGATGCTTTAATACCTAGTAGTTCCTATTACTCTCCATCTCCATTATTTTCTTTTCTAGACTATTTCTGCCTATTATATATTTATTTTCTCCACGTGAATTAACATGTTGAATTTATGCAGATAATTATATTCTTTATATTATTGAATCTTCCTCCAAAAACTAAGTACAGTATTTCTTTTCTTTTTATTAAGGCTTCTTTTATTTACTTCTGTGTTTTCAACATAATTGGTAAAAAATAAAATTTATTTCTGAAATTTTCAACAAAACTGAAGAATGACTATCAAATACTTCCTGAAGCATTGATTTTGTACACGTCTTTTTCTATGCTTCTGTTTTTACAAAATTGTCATATTATACTAGCCTGAGCTTTGAGCTCTTGAGCTGACTGGTTATCTAACAAAGCATGTGACAGAGCTGAATCAAACTGGTAGTAATCCACTAAATATCTAAATGTCGGTGAATATAGTCATCCAGAAAATCATCCATTAATCTTTTCCGTAATTACAAAGTCTCACGCTATTCTACAGAATTGTCCTATTGTGTCCAGAACTGGTGGGTTCTTCGTCTCACTGACTTCAAGAATGAAGCCGTGGACCCTCGCGGTGAGTGTTACAGTTCTTAAAGGCGACGTGTCTGGAGTTTGTTCCTTCTGATGTTCGGATGTGTTCGGAGTTTCTTCCTTCTGGTGGGGTTCGTGGTCTCGCTGGCTCAGGAGTGAAGCTGCAGACCTTCGCGGTGAGTGTTACAGCTCTTAAAGCGGCGTGTCTGGAGTTGTTCATTTCTCCCGGTGGGTTCGTGGTCTCGTTGGCTTCATGAGTGAAGCTGCAGACCTTCGCGGTGAGTGTTACAGCTCATAAAGGCAGTGTGGACCCAAAGAGTGAGCAGCAGCAGGATTTATTACAAAGAGCGAAAGAACAAAGCTTCCACAGCATGGAAGGGGACTGGAGTGGGTCGCCACTGCTAGCTCGGCAGCCTGCTTTTATTCTCTTATCTGGCCCCACCCACATCCTGCTGATTGGTCCATTTTACAGAGAGCTGAGTGGTCTGTTTTGACAGGGTGCTGATTGGTGTATTTACAATCCCTGAGCCAGACACAAAGGTTCTCCACCTCCCCACTAGATTAGCTACATACAGAGTGTGGACACAAAGGTTCTCCAAGTCCCCACCAGAGTAGCTAGATACAGAGTGTCGATTGGTGCATTCACAAACCCTGAGCTAGACACAGGGTGCTGATTGGTGTGTTTACAAACCTTGAGCTAGATACAGAATGCCGATTGGTGTATTTACAATCCCCTAGCTAGACATAAAGGTTCTCCAGGTCCCCACCAGAGTCAGGAGCCCAGCTGGCTTCACCTAGTGGATCCCACACCTGGGCCATAGGTGGAGCTGCCTGCCAGTCCTGCGCCCTGCACCCTAACTTCTCAGCCCTTGGGTGGTCAATGGGACTGGGCACCATGGAGTAGGGGGCCGTGCTTGTGGGGGAGGCTCGGGAGGCACAGGAGCCCACGGACGTGGAGAGGGGAGGGCCGGAGGCTCAGGCATGGCAGGCTGCACGTCCGGAGCCCTGCCCCGCAGGAAGGCAGCTAAGGCCCGTTGAGAAAATGAGCACAGCAGCTGCTGGCCTAGGTGCTAAGCCCCTCAATGCCTGGGGCCGGTGGGGCCGGCGGGGCTGGCGGGCCCCAAGGCCGCTCCGAGTGTGGGGCCCCCGAACCCACACCCACTCGGTACTCGCACTGGCCCGCAAGCACCGTGCGCAGCACCGGTTCCCGCCGGGCCTCTCCCTCCACACCTCCCCGCAAGCTGAGGGAGCCGGCTCCGGCCCAGAAAGGGGCTCCCACAGTGCAGCGGCGGGCTGAAGGGCTCTTCACGTGCCGCCAAAGTGGGAGCCCAGGCAGAGGAGGTGCGGAGAGTGAGCGAGGGCTGTGAGGACTGCCAGCACGCTGTCACCTCTCACTATTTTACAATGAAAGGCCCTATTTACCATGCTAGTATCTTTATAAATTTGCCAATAGAGCTTGATATACTCGGCAGAATCTGGTTCAGACAGAACAATGCAGAGTGGAGGATAGCTGGCTGTACACGGTCTTATAATTTTTCTCTTTGAATATCAATAGTGGAAAGTTTTAGGATCCTCGATTTAGAAATAAATGTGTATCATCCTTTTCTCCTCTTCCTATGAGGTCTTGGTTGCATGCCACTTTGTTCTCTGATCACAGCAAGATATCCCCAGTGTGTGTGGGTTTTTTTACGGTGTGTGTGTGTGTGTTGGGGGTGTGTATACATACACATGTTTAGACGTTTTATTCTTTTATGGCTTACGTACTGTTTTGTAGCCTTTTCCAACTATGCCTGCGTCATTGGCGTATGGATTCATGGTTTCAGTTCTTTAACAGCTAGATTTAAAATCGACTGTAAATTCAAACCAGTCATCCTGATTAGTACGCTTTCAACTTGTTCAGAGAACTCAGAGATACTTGATTCAGCCTCAGAGTTTAGCTGATAACCTTGGTAAATTTCCTTAGGGCCCAGGGTTAGGTCTGGGTCAGCTGACCTTCTTCACGCCTAAAGAGCCAGTCTGGTATTTCCACAGTGACAGAGTCAGTAATATTTTAAATTTTGCTTCAGTGTTTTGGTTCTGTGTATTTTGTAAATGTAGTTTACTTCTAGGAACTTTTAAATTGCTATTTTAAATAGCATTTCCTTTTTATGTTAGAATCATTATTTTCAATGCTGTGTTTTTGAATGTGCACCATAGATCAAGAGCCAAGGCTTGGGGCTAGGAGGTAGTACAGACCCTGGGGACCGAAGAAGCACTCAAGACCCAAACAAGTAAGTTGTGGTTCAGGGCTCGACTTGAATCCTTGAAGGAACATTGAAGTCAAAAATAAGGAAACTCAGACCTCAGTTTACAGACGGTCTCATAGGAATTTATACAAACCTGTATTTATATCATCTGTCACATTGTGACTATTTATTAACCTATCTTTCTCTCCTACTAATTGTGAACTCCTTCAGAACAGGGGTCAAATCTTGCTTATCTAGGAGTCTCCAATGCAAAACTCCACATACAGAGTGGCTGTTGAATAAATGGTTGTCACTATATATTTCTGCTGTGCTATCATGTGGCTAATACCCAATATTTATTCCACGTGCTTTTCAATGTCAAGTGATTCTGACTAGGTAATCCAGCATCTTTCCAACTGTCTAGAACTGAACTGCAAAGGAAACTGCTGAATCTTCATTTAGAAATACTGAGTTTGAGGCATTTGCAGGAAACCGAAGTATAAATGCATTGGAGAAGGAGAGGATGAGAACTCTGAAATCTCTCCAACATAGTATTCTTGACTGCCTCACATCATGTTTCTTAGCATTGCCAAGGTTAAAAGAAATTTCTGTCCTGTGTAGTGTTGTAGAAAATGGCAATACTGACTTCCCTCCTTGGTGTTTTAAAATTCATTGTTTGAATCAGACATGTATAGAAATGCCATTAGATAGTCCCTGAAACTGAATGTTTGAAATACTATTATCATATGTATAAAAATTTTTAGGCCGGACGTGGTGGCTCACGCCTGTAACCCCAGCACTTTGGGAGGCCGAGGTGGGTGGATCACGAGGTCAGGAGATCGAGACCATTCTGGCTAAAACAGTGAAACCCCGTCTCTACTAAAAATACAAAAAAATTATCCAGGCATTGTGGCGGGAGCCTGTAGCCCCAACTACTCGGGAGGCTGAGGCAGGAGAATGGCGTGAACCAGGGAGGCGGAGCTTGCAGTGAGGCGAGATGGCGCCACTGCACTCCAGCCTGGGCGACAGAGCGAGCCTCCATCTCAAAAAAAAAAAAATTATAATTTGATGTTTCTGAAAAAAGAGCTTGGTTTCTTTGGCAATAAACAAATAATGTCTTTCCTAATTTAAGTTTAATTAAGACTGTGTCCCTGACATGTTCTTTAATGCTATAGACTACTTTTTTGTGCCCATTCTGTAACATGCATTTGGTGAATCTATAGAGACGAGACTCATCTACGTGTTCAGTTCTTAACTGAAGGCAATCTGACATTTTTTAAATACATTGATTATAAAGTGGTAAGCCATAATGATGTTTGAAATGTGAGCTATAAGTAAAACTAATGCTATGAAGGGGTTTGCTGATCTTTAATTTAAATCCAGTCAGAAGTGCAAATGATCACCCAGAAGTTTTACTGAAAGGGATGCTAATACTGATTCTATAGATTCTATCGAACCATAGAAAGTTAATTCTACTCATGTGGACCATCATTCTTGGCAATTACAAAACAGTTTTAAATAATCTCCAGTACAGGCTGCTTTACTGAAGACCAACCCTGACTTCAGCAATTATCTAGCCTAAAATTGGATAGTGGGTCAGCAAAGCATTACGGCTAAAGGGAGCTTGAGATGAACCTAGGTTGGAATCCAAGCATTATTGTTTACTAGCTGTGTAGCCTTCTGTGAGTTATTTAATCTTCATGATTTTCTGTTTTTTTTTTCTTTGTAAAGTGAGGATGATTATAGAACTTGTGGTTATGAAGGGAAGTAAGATAATGCAAGTAAAGTGTTTGGCATGGTGCTGGGCACATAGTAAACACTCAATAAATTGTATCTATTATAGAGAAATCCCCCTAAATATCTTCAGATGAGCTTTTATTATTTTGTTATTGTATAGTTTGGTCACACTAAGGCCTTATAAACTTTTTGAAGTACCTCTTATTAAAATGATATTATGAAGCACCAATAGCATGTAAATAAGGTTGGCTGTTGAAGATAATACACATTATATACTGTGCACTCAAAAAGCCTAGGAATTATTTACATTGAACAAATATGTAATTTGAACTTGCTGGAACAATTCTAGCTTTAATGAGTACTTGAGCAGCTTCTAAAAAAGCATAATTTCCACTTTTTATTAAAAATTAAAATGTTTCATTCATCTTTTAATTGAAAGGGAGGTTGAAACAGACATGGTAACAGAGTAAAACTGGTAATTAAATAATAACCACTTTAATATTCAATGCAGTAAAACTTTGAAGGTGGGAGAAAGAAGCACAAAGGAAAAAATCTCATAGAAAAAAACATGAGTGTCCAAGGCCAGGCTCTGCCATTTCACTTAAAATAGCTTGCCAAAAGTTGTAAGAGAAGAGAGAGTTACTTGCAACATATTGGCAATGGTAGCCAGTTGTTCCTGGTACATGAAAGAAGTGATTATCACAGATGTAAATAAAATGAGGAAGGTTATATGAATATATATATTTTTCTCACATCAAAGAACAGTATGGCCCCATTACAGAGAAAAGGTATATTGATTTTATGTTAGAATTATCTGCAACTGAATTTTTTCAGCTTATATTTAAATGTGTAGTTTTGTATTTGGAAAATTCAACTAAGGAAGAACAAAATGGAATCACACACAAACGAAGTTATTCCTACTCCATTATCATGGAATCTAGAGTTTAAACATTCTGGATTCAACTGCACATACAGCTATTAAATAACAAACTCATTATTGAATGATATGTTAATCTCAGGAGAGAGTAAGACATTCAGTTTACTGCTGTCTTTTGTAGAGGATATTCATGTGGAGAATACCCAAAGTATTTTGATATGGGTCATTCTGCTTAATTTTGGGAAGTATTTTTAACCTACCATCTCTGCCCCACAGTAGTCTGTTTACAGGACATGAAATCTACATGGGCCTTGTCACAATCGAATGTACTTGTCATTTTTCATCATCCCTCCTTCCTTTCTGGAACCACAATTCTTATTCCATGTTTTTCCCCTTCCTATTTTTCATGGAAGCATAGAATCTTAAAACTGTAAAGTCATTAAAGTTCATTGGATAAAACCCCACCATTTTACAAATAGGAAAAATAAAGAAAGGTAAAGCTACTTAACTCAAGATCACAAGGTGAGTTGAAGGCAGAGCCAGGCTTGAACCCACATATCCCAACATAAGTGTTCTTTTGTCATACTGTTAACCATGTATAGTTTGAGTCTTCCAGTATCACTTGATGATAATATGAAGGCTTTAAGTGCTTTTGTTAGTTTTTTATTCATTCATCTGGGCACTCAACAAATATATTAATTTCCTACTATATGCTAATGAGGGGAAGAGAGGTTACATAATGAGTCAAAGCCTATATTAAGCATGGTTCCCTTCTGCCAGGTTGTATACAATCTAGTGAGGAAAGTGAACATTAAGCAAGTTATACATACACTTAATATCAAATTAACCCTGCAGAAGATCCTAAGAAGATCACTGTGCTATAAACTGTGTGAGAGAATAGAATTTAACCTATGGGGTATGTGTATAAGGAGTAAGGTATGGGTTCCCTGGGGATGAACTGAGATTTAGCCGAGAGCAAATAGCTAAGTATGAGTAAAATAGGTGAAAAGCAGTGGGAGGTGAATAACATTCCAAGCCGCAAGCAGCATGTGTGATGGACCAGCAGCAGAAAGGAGAAGAGGTGACTGAGAGACAGCTGCTGTGTCCACAGAAGCTGGGGGGGAGAGAGAGAAGTATTGTACACTCCTAACTGCAGGATTAGAAAGAACTAATCATTTAGGGCGAGTGGGCAGATGCTAGCTTCTTGAAAACATGAGATAAATGCCAGTCTTCACTGATCCGTGATAGACAATTCTTTTTAAAATAAGTACCAATCATTTAAAAGGTATGACAAAAATGTGAGGAGTGATGAAATGAAGAAATATCAGTAATGAAAAAAGAATTAAAGAAGCATAAAACAAATTGAAAAGCTTACGAGTTCCATCCATTTAAAAATACAGTTAGGGCCGGGGGTGGTGGCTCACTGCCTGTAATCCTAGCACTTTGGGAAGCCAAGTCAGGCAGATTGCCTGAGCTCAGGCGTTCGAGACCAGCCTGGGCAACATGGTGAAACCCCATCTCTACTAAAATACAAAAGAAATTAGCCGGATGTGGCAGCATGCGCCTGTAGTCCCAGCTACTCGGGAGATTGAGACGGGAGAATTGGTTGAACCCAGGAGGCGGAGGTTGCAGTGAGTGGATCAATACAGTCAATTCAGAAATATTTGAGTACTTTAATAACTAGTAATTATTACCAAATAGCTCTAATAAGCACTGTTCTGTACAAGGCGGAAAGCAAAATGACTACCTAAGTAGCATTCTTGATAGAATGGGGTAGGAAAGATAATGTGCAATTTGGGGGAGGGAGTATCATAGCATAAAAGCTGTCTTCTGCTTACAGAAGCTGTGTACGTAGTTCTCTGTTTTTATGAGCATGATGATACCTTATTACGTGCTAGTTTAATCTAAGCCAGTGATAAACTTAGACCAGCTGTAATAGAGAAGACATTGAGAAAACTTCAAAAGAAAGTATGAGCTCAATAAAGAAAAAAGTCCAGAGAATAGAATGCCTGGCTGGAACTGCCCCAACATTTTAACGGGTGATTATTTTTAAGTTAAGAAATTTAAAATTTTATTCTGTCCTTATATTCCTACATTTTTATGTAATCATGTTTTTAACATAACTTTCATATCTTATTACTGCAAAGTTTTTCATATTAGAAGAAAATGTAGAGAAGCAAAAAAGAAAAAATAACCCAGAGAAAACTACTGTTAATATTTAATGTATTTCCTTCTGGTTAAATTTTTTATCTATTTATATGCCCATATTTTAGTAAAAATGGTACAATAATATCAATAATATACTTTCTATTTTTAACCCCTGTTCATTTAATATATTATAAATATACTATTTTTTATATTATAAATATACTTTCTATTTTTTAACCCCTGTTCATTTAATATATTATAAATATCTTTCTGTGTCATTACTTTTCTACTCATTCATCTTAACAATTGTACATTATCCATTGTATGTGCATGGCTTCACCCCTAACCACCTTTTCTTCTTTTTTCTTTTCTTTTTTTTTTTTTTTTTTTTTTTTTTAATTGAGATAGGATCTCGTTCTATCACCCAGGCTAGAATGTAGTAATGGGATCATAGCTCACTGCAGCCTCGAGTTCCTGGGCTCAAGCGATTACCTCTTCTTCAGCCTCCCTATAGGCATGTGCTACCATGATCAGCGAATTGCTAAATTTTTGTTGCTGTTGTTAGGGATGATGTCTCACTATGTTGCCCAAGTTGGACTTGAACTGCTGACCTCAAGCAGTCCTCCCACCTCAGCATCCCAAAGTGGTGAGGTTATAGGCATAAGCAACCCTACTTGGCCTCAAATTCTTTTCTTAACAAGAAAAATAATTTAAACGGCATTGGAATTGCATATATAAATGCTTGCAAAATAAGTTTTTTTCATGACATTTGTATATTTTGTCTCCTTCTCATGCCTTTCTCTACAGATGTACATACTCACACATACACACTTTAACAATTTGCTATCAAGTAGACTAATTGAGTGCATCTTAAGTCCAGATCCAATGGTATACAAACTCCCAATCTGATTTATACAAGGTATTATTAAAGAGTTATTGTTGAGAAAATATATTACAGTGAAATTATTTTTTAATGGGGCTATGGTTCGCATATTTAAAGTACGGTAGTAATATTCAAAGAAATAAGAAAAAAATTTCAAAATAGACTTCTTTAGGAATCTTATTTAATTCTGTGGTAAAGTAAATCTGACTAACATACAGTAGAATGGGAACTTCAAAGGTCTTTTCCTAGTTTTTAAAGCTTGCCAGAATTAAGTGCTGCTGATTAGTGCTAAATTGACTGGAACTGTGGTTGGGAGTGAAGATCGGGGTCATGTTAGGAGCTGAGACCAGAGAAATATATGACAGAGCTCTACACTTATTTTGTGTGCCCATGGACAAATAATAAAAAAGAAAAGACAGAGTGGAAAGTTGTGGTTTCCTAATTGCAAATTGAGCTTCGATGCTGGGGAGAACTAATGTGATCCTGACACCAAAAGTCATTCCAACTGACTTGATATATATACAAATAACAGTATAATTTGGATTTTTAAAATGCAGCTGCAACCTGTCCATTGAATCTGAGAACATTTTCATTTTCACTTGAAATCAAACACAACACTATATAGTCTATTGGTACACATGTCTAAAATATTTACCTTAACTACATGACTACAAAAACATCTCTTAAATATCAAATTATAAACTATTCAGTGTATGTATATATATTTATAAAGATAAATCAACTATTCAATATAGATATCTGTATACATGTATAGTATATAGATATCTATACTGAATAGATATCTATACGGAATAGATATCTATACAGAATAGACTGAATCTATACTTAATCTATACAGTATAAATGTATATTGAATATAGCAGTATAGATAACTTTACTGAATAGTTGATTTATCTTTATAAAAAATATATATATATACATATACTGAATTGCTGATAGTTGATTTTTTTTACACTGATTACCTCCTATTTTTATTTTCCTAAATTTGGTGATTAAAATAAAATTCAGACCCAGAGCTAATTCAATAAAAATTAGCTCATTTTATGTATGAACTTAGCTTAACTTCAAAGTCTTGGTCATAGTTTTGAATACATTTTCTTTTAACAACACAATTGCTTTTCATTCAAAAGGGAAAAGTACTGAAAAACAATTGATCTATCTGGAGGATTCTGGCTCCTTTGAATCTTTGGATGCATCATGAGTGTTTTTTTTATTCTTTTGCTTGCACTTTTTCCAAAAGAAGCTAAATAAATTAATTAGAGAAAGAGATGCTCTTCGTCTCTCTGTTGGCCTAGTCATAAGAGAAACCATCAGATATGAGGCTTAATGGCTAGTCATGGAGGCAAAAAATGTAATTAATACTTAGATAAATGTCTGCTTTTTTTTTTTTTTTTTTTTTTGAGACGGAGATTCGCTCTTGTTGCCCAGGCTGGAGTGCAATGGCATGATCTCGGCTCACCCCATCCTCCTCCTCCCAGGTTTAAGCAATTCTCTTGCCTCAGCCTCCTGAGTAGCTAGGATTACTGGCATGTGCCACCACGCCCGGCTAATTTTGTATTTTTAGTAGAGACGGGGTTTCTCCATGTTGGTCAGGCTGGTCTCGAACTCCCGACCTCAGGTGATCCGCCCGCCTCGTCCTCCCAAAGTGCTGGGATTACAGGTATGAGCCACCGCGCCCGGCCAATTGTCTGCTTTGAAAGCACTGGTTAAACACTGTGGAGTGGCAAGATTTCTCATTGGCATGCTCATTCAGTTTTCGCTGGAGATTAGACAGTGCTCCAGCTAAATCAGTTAGAATGCATAACTGATTTTCTAATTGGATGCATCTAATTGGCAATTAGAAAATCAGGGCAACATTTTAGACATGGGTTTGTGGTGATTCTCATGTAAATGAACCTGTTGCACTGTCATTCATATAAAAGGGCAGCACATATGATTATATGCAGTACATAATAAATGATAACGATAATAAACCCCTATGGTTTATGTATTCACTCTTACCAAGAGTTGTTCACTAATTTAGAGAATCACATCACTGAAGGAAATGCTACTTGTGATATTTGAGTTGTCAATACAATATACTTACATCAGTCTGCATTCCTAGCTGTCATATTCATGGTGATTCTATTTATGGATGCAAGCACTTTATAACTTCCTTACTTCTAGTGTTATTGTGACTAATCATTTATATATTGAGAGGTTTATTATTTTGAAATGAAATACTTCATTTAATATACTGAAAAACTTCTCAACAAATAAAAATCCAGGATCAGATAGTTAAACTAGTGAGTTCCATCAAATGTTTAAAGAAAAGTTAAAACCAACACTTCTCAAACTCTTTCAAGAATGTGGAGAGAAAAAAAACACTTCCTAACTTAATCTATGGAACCAGAATTTCCCTGATCCCTGATTTTATCATTAACATTTGTAATTTTATCTTGTCTTTGTTCAGGCTGTTGGAACAAATCACTATAGACTGGGTGACTTATAAACAACCAAAATTTATTTCTTGCAGTTCTGAATGCTGAGAAGTCCTAGATGAAGGTGCTAACAGAATCAGTGTCTGGTGAGGGCCCACTTCCTGGTTGAGAGACAGCTGTCATTTTGTTGTGTCCTCACATGGCAGAAGGGACTAATGAGCTCTCTGGAGCCTCTACTATCAGAACACTAATTCTATTCATGAGAGATCCACCCTCAGGACCTAAACACCTCCCAAAGGCCCCATCTCATAATACTATCACATACGGTATTAGGATTTCAACATATGAATTTTGCGGAAACACAAACTTTCAGTTTATAGCATTTATTTTTAGCATTTTATATTTTTCAACAATCCTGTAAGGTAGGCAGGCCTAGTGTTACGTATTCTATTTTATGGGACCCAGCTCCAAAATTATAATAGAATTCAGAAGGAAGTTCCTGACTTGGTGAATAAGTGATCATTTCATTTATAAAAAAATAGAAATGTATTCAATGCATAAAATGAGCTCAGTCTGTAATACATTATAAATAAATGCACTTCTTAGATTATTTAGTCTATGGGAAGCCTGCACAATTTAACTCCACTCACATGGATCATTAAGCTGTAACTGCACTCAAATAAGTAAATTGCAAATTATGGAATTCTGGCAAGCAATATACCAAGTAGTTTCATAGAAAATCATGAAGTTCATGACTTTTGAATCAATTTGAGGAATTTTTATTTATGAATAGTTGTTTTTTTTTGTCCTACAATAAGAACATCTAGAATAGTTATAATAATAGCACTAAGAATGGACCGTTAAGAGGTCTCTGGTGATCATTGATCAGACTCTTAAAACCCTCTAACTTTCCTATTCTCATGAGCTCCATGAATATTTATTCTGCAATAATTTGTATTTATCAAGTGATATCTTGCATTCTCACAGTAATTCATCAAAAACATGTAAAATTTTCAGTTTTTAATATCTGACTACCATGGCATAACCTGGACTGAAGTTGATACAATTTGAATCAATAGCAAATACATTTAATATGTTAGCTAATAAAATATGGTTTTGTCTTATAAATGATGAGAAGTTTAGTCCAAGTTTTATAATGGGTGATATTTTTGGACAAGCTTATATAAATACTAGGGAGATAGATTATTATGTAATGTTCAATGGATGTTTAAGTTTAGTAAATCATATCTTAATTTCTAAAGAGACTTGTCATATAATAATAGTAGTTGTTTTAGAAATATATATATCTGGATATTTTTTAGTTACACACACACACACACACACACACACACACACACACACACACTGTTACCCACTTACTCATTAACCATTAGAATAAGAAAGACAATCTTTTTGTTTTTTAAACTCACCAAGTACATGTATCAGCACAGCAGCTAGTCTGGCAGCTATAAAAATACAATTATGCAAATTAGGTATGTGTTCCCTGAAGAGTCCTAATAGGATGATTGACCTATATATGGCTTAATTTGCTTTCAAGAGCCCTCTTTATTGTCTTTCATTTGCACAAGAAATTAAAACCTGTTAAATTCTATTGCTCCCCAATTACTTATCAAAGGTGCTTTGTCATTCCATGTAAAAAATAATCAATAGCTTTTTCATGCTATTTTCTCTGAAAATGCAACTATGGTGCTAGAAGATAGCACAATTTCCAACCATACATTTGAATAATCTCTTTTTTAATCAACATATCACTTATGAAATGACAGTGAGTTTTAAAGGTATGTGGTTGAGAGATCACAGAATCACTAGGTTACATAGACAATTTGCTTGCTAGTGTTTTTGATCATATGTATATAATATCTACTATTTGGAAATCTGTTCATCTCTAAGCAGGAAAAACTATTTGGTTATAGCCACATGGGCATTCTACTGGTTTAGCTTTTGGCATCACTAAAAATCTTTATAGTGATAAGGTTTGATTTCACTAAGCAGACCAAAACTTAGTGCAAAGGAAAGTATCTTGGTTGCCTCTCAGTCATAAAAACAGCTTTCTCAAAGCCTAACTTACGTGAAGGATTCACTTTTTCTTATTATGCTGCTTAGCGTAAACAAAAATGTATTGCCAATACAGTGTTTCCAAAGTAAATTAAACAACTCTATGTTGTTTCATAAAGAGGAAAATGCTTCCACTTTATGGAAATAGAAATACAGAATGTGAGTACTTTTAAATCCCTTTTCTCCTCGACTTACTAAAATTTTGGAAACTTTAACATTTATTGAGAGATGGGTCCAGTATTCCAGGATTGGACAGCCTCATGACAAGGTTTCCTATAAGGTCCCTTGCCCCCATATCACTGTTAAAAGATAAACTGGGTTGGAAGTTGCTGCTCTTGGTCTACTGCTTTCTGCTTTTTTTTTTTTTTTTTTTTTACCAATTGTCTTTCAACTTATGCATGTTCTTAGAATGAAAGTGAGTGTTTTGCAGACAATGTATAGTAGCATCTTGTTTTTGTATCCATTCATCCAATTCATATATTTTTATTGGAGTGTTTAATTCTTATGCATTAGAAGTAATTACTGGCCATGTGTGGTGGCTCATGTCTGTAATCCCAGCACTTTCTTTGGAAAGCCGAGGCAGGTGGATCACCTGAGATTAGGAGTTCGAGACTAGCCTGGCCAACATGATGAAACCCCATCTCTACTAAAAATACAAAAATTAGCTGGGTGTGGTGGCAGGCACCTGTAATTCCAGCTACTCAGAAGGCTGAGGCAGGAGAATCACTTGAACCTGGAAGACGGAGGTTGCAGTGAGCCGAGATCGCACCACTGCACTCAAGCCTGGGGCAACAGAGTGAGACTCAGTCTCAAAAAATAAAATAAAACGAGAGATAAATAAAATAAGTAATTATTGATAGGTAAGCACTCACTTTTGCCATTTTCATTTCTGTTTTCTGTGCATTTTATAATGATTTTTCCTCATTTTCTCCATTACTGCCCTTTATGTTTAGTTGCTTTTTAGTAATGCAAGAATGTGACTCTCTTTTCCTCTTCTTTTGCGTATATTCTATAGATATTTTCTTTGCACTTACCATGGGGATTACATATAACATACTTTTTTATGTTATGTATATGTATATTTATGACATTTGATGGTAAATTGATACCAACTTAACTGCAATCTCAATCAAAAAGTCTATTTCTTCTGCAGCTCTGACCCCCTTAATATTATTAACTCAGGAGGAGGAGCCAAGATGGCCGAATAGGAACAGCTCCGGTCTACAGCTCCCAGCGTGAGCGACGCAGAAGACGGGTGATTTCTGCATTTCCATCTGAGGTACCGGGTTCATCTCACTAGGGAGTGCCAGACAGTGGGCGCAGGCCAGTGTGTGTGCGCACCGTGCGCGAGCCGAAGCAGGGCGAGGCATTGCCTCACCTGGGAAGCGCAAGGGGTCAGGGAGTTCCCTTTCCGAGTCAAAGAAAGGGGTGACGGACGCACCTGGAAAATCGGGTCACTCCCACCCGAATATTGTGCTTTTCAGACCGGCTTAAGAAACGGCGCACCACGAGACTATATCCCACACCTGGCTCAGAGGGTCCTACGCCCACGGAATCTCGCTGATTGCTAGCACAGCAGTCTGAGATCAAACTGCAAGGTGGCAACGAGGCTGGGGGAGGGGCGCCCGCCATTGCCCAGGCTTGCTTAGGTAAACAAAGCAGCCGGGGAAGCTCGAACTGGGTGGAGCCCACCACAGCTCAAGGAGGCCTGCCTGCCTCTGTAGGCTCCACCTCTGGGGGCAGGGCACAGACAAACAAAAAGACAACAGTAACCTCTGCAGACTTAAGTGTCCCTGTCTGACAGCTTTGAAGAGAGCAGTGGTTCTCCCAGCACGCAGCTGGAGATCTGAGAACAGGCAGACTGCCTCCTCAAGTGGGTCCCTGACCCCTGACCCCCGAGCAGCCTAACTGGGAGGCACACTGACACCTCACACGGCAGGGTATTCCAACAGACCTGCAGCTGAGGGTCCTGTCTGTTAGAAGGAAAACTAACAACCAGAAAGGACATCTACACCGAAAACCCATCTGTACATCACCATCATCAAAGACCAAAAGTAGATAAAAACCACAAAGATGGGGAAAAAACAGAACAGAAAAACTGGAAACTCTAAAACGCAGAGCGCCTCTCCTCCTCCAAAGGAACGCAGTTCCTCACCAGCAACGGAACAAAGCTGGATGGAGAATGACTTTGACGAGCTGAGAGAAGAAGGCTTCAGACGATCAAATTACTCTGAGCTACGGGAGGACATTCAAACCAAAGGCAAAGAAGTTGAAAACTTTGAAAAAAATTTAGAAGAATGTATAACTAGAATAACCAATACAGAGAAGTGCTTAAAGGAGCTGATGGAGCTGAAAACCAAGGCTCGAGAACTACGTGAAGAATGCAGAAGCCTCAGGAGCCGATGCGATCAACTGGAAGAAAGGGTATCAGCAATGGAAGATGAAATGAATGAAATGAAGTGAGAAGGGAAGTTTAGAGAAAAAAGAATAAAAAGAAATGAGCAAAGCCTCCAAGAAATATGGGACTATGTGAAAAGACCAAATCTACGTCTGATTGGTGTACCTGAAAGTGATGTGGAGAATGGAACCAAGTTGGAAAACACTCTGCAGGATATTATCCAGGAGAACTTCCCCAATCTAGCAAGGCAGGCCAACGTTCAGATTCAGGAAATACAGAGAACGCCACAAAGATACTCCTCGAGAAGAGCAACTCCAAGACACATAATTGTCAGATTCACCAAAGTTGAAATGAAGGAAAAAATGTTAAGGGCAGCCAGAGAGAAAGGTCGGGTTACCCTCAAAGGAAAGCCCATCAGACTAACAGCGGATCTCTCGGCAGAAACCCTACAAGCCAGAAGAGAGTGGGGGCCAATATTCAACATTCTTAAAGAAAAGAATTTTCAACCCAGAATTTCATATCCAGCCAAACTAAGCTTCATAAGTGAAGGAGAAATAAAATACTTTATAGACAAGCAAATGCTGAGAGATTTTGTCACCACCAGGCCTGCCCTAAAAGAGCTCCTGAAGGAAGCGCTAAACCTGGAAAGGAAAAACCGGTACCAGCCGCTGCAAAATCATGCCAAAATGTAAAGACCATCGAGACTAGGAAGAAACTGCATCAACTAATGAGCAAAATCACCAGCTAACATCATAATGACAGGATCAAATTCACACATAACAATATTAACTTTAAATATAAATGGACTAAATTCTGCAATTAAAAGACACAGACTGGCAAGTTGGATAAAGAGTCAAGACCCATCAGTGTGCTGTATTCAGGAAACCCATCTCACATGCAGAGACACACATAGGCTCAAAATAAAAGGATGGAGGAAGATCTACCAAGCCAATGGAAAACAAAAAAAGGCAGGGGTTGCAATCCTAGTCTCTGATAAAACAGACTTTAAACCAACAAAGATCAAAAGAGACAAAGAAGGCCATTACATAATGGTAAAGGGATCAATTCAACAAGAGGAGCTAACTATCCTAAATATTTATGCACCCAATACAGGAGCACCCAGATTCATAAAGCAAGTCCTGAGTGACCTACAAAGAGACTTAGACTCCCACACATTAATAATGGGAGACTTTAACACCCCACTGTCAACATTAGACAGATCAACGAGACAGAAAGTCAACAAGGATACCCAGGAATTGAACTCAGCTCTGCACCAAGCAGACCTAATAGACATCTACAGAACTCTCCACCCCAAATCAACAGAATATACATTTTTTTCAGCACCACACCACACCTATTCCAAAATTGACCACATAGTTGGAAGTAAAGCTCTCCTCAGCAAATGTAAAAGAACAGAAATTATAACAAACTATCTCTCAGACCACAGTGCAATCAAACTAGAACTCAGGATTAAGAATCTCACTCAAAGCCGCTCAACTACATGGAAACTGAACAACCTGCTCCTGAATGACTACTGGGTACATAACGAAATGAAGACAGAAATAAAGATGTTCTTTGAAACCAACGAGAACAAAGACACCACATACCAGAATCTCTGGGACGCATTCAAAGCAGTGTGTAGAGGGAAATTTATAGCACTAAATGCTTACAAGAGAAAGCAGGAAAGATCCAAAATTGACACCCTAACATCACAATTAAAAGAACTAGAAAAGCAAGAGCAAACACATTCAAAAGCTAGCAGAAGGCAAGAAATAACTAAAATCAGAGCAGAACTGAAGGAAATAGAGACACAAAAAACCCTTCAAAAAATCAATGAATCCAGGAGCTGGTTTTTTGAAAGGATCAACAAAATTGATAGACCGCGAGCAAGACTAATAAAGAAAAAAAGAGAGAAGAATCAAATAGACACAATAAAAAATGATAAAGGGGATATCACCACCGATCCCACAGAAATACAAACTACCATCAGAGAATACTACAAACACCTCTACGCAAATAAACTAGAAAATCTAGAAGAAATGGATAAATTCCTCGACACATACACTCTCCCAAGACTAAACCAGGAAGAAGTTGAATCTCTGAATAGACCAATAACAGGCTCTGAAATTGTGGCAATAATCAATAGTTTACCAACCAAAAAGAGTCCAGGACCAGATGGATTCACAGCCGAATTCTACCAGAGGTACAGGAGGAACTGGTACCATTCCTTCTGAAACTATTCCAATCAATAGAAAAAGAGGGAATCCTCCCTAACTCATTTTATGAGGCCAACATCATTCTGATACCAAAGCCGGGCAGAGACACAACCAAAAAAGAGAATTTTAGACCAATATCCTTGATGAACATTGATGCAAAAATCCTCAGTAAAATACTGGCAAACCGAATCCAGCAGCACATCAAAAAGCTTATCCACCATGATCAAGTGGGCTTCATCCCTGGGATGCAAGGCTGGTTCAATATACGCAAATCAATAAATGTAATCCAGCATATAAACAGAGCCAAAGACAAAAACCACATGATTATCTCAATAGATGCAGAAAAAGCCTTTGACAAAATTCAACAACCCTTCATGCTAAAAACTCTCAATAAATTAGGTATTGATGGGACGTATTTCAAAATAATAAGAGCTATCTATGACAAACCCACAGCCAATATCATACTGAATGGGCAAAAACTGGAAGCATTCCCTTTGAAAACTGGCACAAGACAGGGATGCCCTCTCTCACCGCTCCTATTCAACATAGTGTTGGAAGTTCTGGCCAGGGCAATCAGGCAGGAGAAGGAAATAAAGGGTATTCAATTAGGAAAGAGGAAGTCAAATTGTCCCTGTTTGCAGACGACATGATTGTTTATCTAGAAAACCCCATTGTCTCAGCCCAAAATCTCCTTAAGCTGATAAGCAACTTCAGCAAAGTCTCAGGATACAAAATCAATGTACAAAAATCACAAGCATTCTTATACACCAACAACAGACAAACAGAGAGCCAAATCATGAGTGAACTCCCATTCACAATTGCTTCAAAGAGAATAAAATACCTAGGACTCCAACTTACAAGGGATGTGAAGGACCTCTTCAAGGAGAACTACAAACCACTGCTCAAGGAAATAAAAGAGGACACAAACAAATGGAAGAACATTCCATGCTCATGGGTAGGAAGAATCAATATCGTGAAAATGGCCATACTGCCCAAGGTAATTTACAGATTCAATGCCATCCCCATCAAGCTACCAATGACTTTCTTCACAGAATTGGAAAAAACTACTTTAAAGTTCATATGGAACCAAAAAAGAGCCCGCATCACCAAGTCAATCCTAAGCCAAAAGAACAAAGCTGGAGGCATCACACTACCTGACTTCAAACTATACTACAAGGCTACAGTAACCAAAACAGCATGGTACTGGTACCAAAACAGAGATATAGATCAATGGAACAGAACAGAGCCCTCAGAAATAATGCCGCATATCTACAACTATCTGATCTTTGACAAACCTGAGAAAAACAAGCAATGGGGAAAGGATTCCCTATTTAATAAATGGTGCTGGGAAAACTGGCTAGCCATATGTAGAAAGCTGAAACTGGATCCCTTCCTTACACCTTATACAAAAATCAATTCAAGATGGATTAAAGATTTAAACGTTAGACCTAAAACCATAAAAACCCTAGAAGAAAACCTAGGCATTACCATTCAGGACATAGGCGTGGGCAAGGACTTCATGTCCAAAACACCAAAAGCAATGGCAACAAAAGCCAAAATTGACAAATGGGATCTAATTAAACTAAAGAGCTTCTGCACAGCAAAAGAAACTACCATCAGAGTGAACAGGCAACCTACAACATGGGAGAAAATTTTCGCAACCTACTCATCTGACAAAGGGCTAATATCCAGAATCTACAATGAACTCAAACAAATTTACAAGAAAAAAACAAACAACCCCATCAAAAAGTGGGCGAAGGACATGAACAGACACTTCTCAAAAGAAGACATTTATGCAGCCAAAAAACACATGAAGAAATGCTCATCATCACTGGCCATCAGAGAAATGCAAATCAAAACCACTATGAGATATCATCTCACACCAGTTAGAATGGCAATCATTAAAAAGTCAGGAAACAACAGGTGCTGGAGAGGATGTGGAGAAATAGGAACACTTTTACACTGTTGGTGGGAGTGTAAACTAGTTCAACCATTGTGGAAGTCAGTGTGGCGATTCCTCAGGGATCTAGAACTAGAAATACCATTTGACCCAGCCATCCCATTACTGGGTATATACCCAAAGGACTATAAATCATGCTGCTATAAAGACACATGCACACGTATGTTTATTGCGGCACTATTCACGATAGCAAAGACTTGGAACCAACCCAAATGTCCAACAATGATAGACTGGATTAAGAAAATGTGGCACATATACACCATGGAATACTATACAGCCATAAAAAATGATGAGTTCATGTCCTTTGTATGGACATGGATGAAATTGGAAACCATCATTCTCAGTAACCTATCGCAAGAACAAAAAACCAAACACCGCATATTCTCACTGATAGGTGGGAATTGAACAATGAGATCACATGGACACAGGAAAGGGAATATCGCACTCTGGGGACTGTGGTGGGGTCGGGGGAGGGGGGAGGGATAGCATTGGGAGATATACCTAATGCTAGATGACACGTTAGTGGGTGCAGCGCACCAGCATGGCACATGTATACATATGTAACTAACCTGCACAATGTGCACATGTACCCTAAAACTTAGAGTATAATAAAAAAAAATATTATTAACTCACAATATTAGCTCACTTAATATTATTAGCTCACAAATTAATTCTTCATATATTGTGCCATTAACATAGATTTATACTTTATTTATGTATTTTGTTTTTTAAATTCTGTAAAAAATTCAAAAATGGTGTGACAAACCAAAGTTATCATGATATTGTATTTTAACTGTTTTTATTTATTTACCTTTATTGGAAACTTTATGTTATATATAGGATACATGTGAATATTTTTTACATGCATAGAATGTGTGATAATTAAGTCAGAGTATTTGGGGTAATCATCACCTTGGTTATTTATCATTTCTATGTGTTGGTATTATTTCAAGTCCTCTCTAATAGCTACTTTACAATATACAATATATTGTTGCTAACTATAGTCACCCTACTCTGCTATTGAATATTGGAGCTTACTTATTTTAACTGTATATTTGTACCCACTAACCAGCCTCTCTTTATCCCCTCCTCATACCCACAGACCCTTCTCACCCTCTGGAATCTATTATTTTATTGTTGATCTCCATGACATCACCTTTTTATTTATTTTTTATTTTTTTAAATATACTTTAAGTTTTAGGGTACATGTGCACAACGTGCAGGTTTGTTACATATGTATACATGTGCCATGTTGGTGTGCTGCACCCATTAACTTGTCATTTAGCATTAGGTATATCTCCTAATGCTATCCCTCCCCCCTCACTCCACCCCACAACAGGCCCCGGTGTGTGATGTTCCCCTTCCTGTGTCCATATATTCTCATTGTTCAATTCCCACCTATGAGTGAGAACATGCGGTGTTTGGTTTTTTGTCCTTGCGATAGTTTGCTGAGAATGATGGTTTCCAGCTTCATCCATGTCCCTACAAAGGACATGAACTCATCAATTTTTATGGCTGCATAGTATTTCATGGTGTATATGTGCCACATTTAATTAATCCAGTCTATCATTGTTGGACATTTGGGTTGGTTCCAAGTCATTGCTATTGTGAATAATGCCACAATAAACATACATGTGCATGTGTCTTTATAGCAGCATGATTTATAATCCTTTGGGTATATACCCAGTAATGGGATGGCTGGGTCAAATGGTATTTCTAGTTCTAGATCCCTGAAGAATCACCACACTGACTTCCACAATGGTTGAACTAGTTTACAGTCCCACCAACAGTGTAAAAGTGTTCCTATTTCTCCACATCCTCTCCAGCACCTGTTGTTCCCTGACTTTTTAATGATTGCCATTCTAACTGGTGTGAGATGGTATTTCATTGTAATTTATAGATTCAATGCCATCCTCATCAAGCTACCAATGACTTTCTTCACAGAATTGGAAAAAACTGCTTTAAAGTTCATATGGAACCAAAAAAGAGCCCGCATTGCCAAGTCAATCCTAAGCCAAAAGAACAAAGCTGCAGGCATCACCCTACCTGACTTCAAACTATACTACAAGGCTACAGTAACCAAAACAGCATGGTACTAGTACCAAAACAGAGATATAGACCAATGGAACAGAACAGAGCCCTCAGAAATAATACCACACATCTACAACTATCTGATCTTTGACAAACCTGAGAAAAACAAGCAATGGGGAAAGGATTCCCTATTTAATAAATGGTGCTGGGAAAACTGGCTAGCCAGATGTAGAAAGCTGAAACTGGATCCCTTCCTTACACCTTATACAAAAATTAATTCAAGATGGATTAAAGACTTAAATGTTAGACCTAAAACCATAAAAACCCTAGAAGAAAACCTAGGCAATACCATTCAGGACATAGGCATGGGCAAGGACTTCATGTCTAAAACACCAAAAGCAATGGCAACAAAAGCCAAAATTGACAAATGGGATCTAATTAAACTAAAGAGCTTCTGCACAGCAAAAGAAACTACCATCAGAGTGAACAGGCAACCTACAGAATGGGAGAAAATTTTTGCAATCTACTCATCTGACAAAGGGCTAATATCCAGAATCTACAAAGAACTCAAACAAATTTACAAGAAAAAAATAAACAACCCCATCAACAAGTAGGCAAATGATATGAACAGACACTTCTCAAAAGAAGACATTTATGCAGCTAAAGGACACATGAAAAAATGCTCATCATCACTGGCCATAAGAGAAATGCAAATCAAAACCACAATGAGATACCATCTCACACCAGTTAGAATGGCGAACATCACCTTTTTAAACTCCCATATATAAGTGAGAACATGTTTTATCTATCTTTCTGTGCCTGGCATATTACCTTAACATCATTACCTTCAGTTCCATTTATACTGCTGCAAATAATATGAATTTACTTTTTTCTATAGCCAAATACTATTTCATTATGTATATATATCACATTTTCTTTATTCATTTATCTGTCAATATACACTTTGTCTGATACCATATGTTGGATATTGTGACTACTGCTGCAATAAACATATCAATGCAAGTATCCCTTTGATACAGATTTATTTTCCTTTGTATAAACACCCAATACTGGGGTTGCTGAATTGTGTGGTAGCTCTAGTTTTTTCGTCGTTGTTGTTTTTTATTTTGTTTATTTATTTACTTATGTTTTGAGAGAGAGTCTCACTCTGTCATCCAGGCTGAAGTGCAGTGGCAGGATCTTGGCTTAGTGAAACTTCTGCTTCCTGGGTTCAAGCGATTCTTATGCCTCAGCCTCCCAGGTAACTGGGATGACAGGCATCCACCACCACACCTGGCTAATTTTTGTACTTTCAGTAGAGACTGAGTTTCACCATGTTGTCCAGGATGGTCTCACACTCCTGACCTCAGGTGATCCACCTTCCTTGGCCTCCCAAATTGCTGGGACTACAGGCTTGAGTCACCGCGCCCAGCCTCTAGTTCTGTTTTTAATTTGTGAGAAATCTTCAAATTTTTTTCTATAGTGTTTGTACTAATTTAAATTCCCAACAATGTATAAAAGTTCCCATTTCTTTGCATTATTGCCAGCATCTGTCTTTTTTTTGGTCTTTTTAATAATATACATTCTGAATATCTCTTAGTGTGAGATAATATCAGGTTTTGATTAGCATTTCCCTGATGCTTAGTAATATTAAGCATTTTTTCATATACCGGTTGGCCATTTGTATGCCTTATTTTGAAAAATATCTATTAATGCCCTTTGCCTTCTTTTCAATAGGATTATTATTATTATTATTTTACCATTGCGTTGTTTGAGTTTCTTGTATATTCTAGATATTAGTCTCTTTTTGAACAAATTGTTTTTGAATATTTTCTCCCATTCAAGAGGTTAATTGTTTTGTTGATGGTTTTCTTTGCTGTACAAAAGCTTTTTAGCTTAGTATCATCCCATTTGTCTATTTTTGTTTCTATTGCCTATGTTTTTGAGGTCTTAGCCATAAAATCTTTGCCTAGACTAATGCCCTAACATGTTTCTTCTATGTTTTCTTCTAGTAATTTTATATTGTTTGGTCTTAAATTGAAGTCTTAATTCATCTTGTGTTGATTTTTCAATATGGTGGGAGATAGAAATCCAGTTTTATTTTTCTGCATATAGGTATCTATTTTGCAAGTACCATTTATGGAAGAGCATGTCCTTTTCCCAATGCATGTTCTTGGGGCCTTTCTTGAAAATCATTTGGCCATAAATACATGGATATATTTCTGTGTCCTGTGTCTATTGTTATGCCAATACCACGTTGTTTTGGAAACTCAAGACTTGTAATACATTTTAAAATCAGGTAGTGTGATGCCTCTAGCTTTATTCTTTTTTATTCAGGTTTGCTTTGAATATTTGGGCCTCTTTTGGGTTTCATATGAATTTTATAATTGCTTTTTCTTATTTTGAAAAAAAATTTGTATTTTGATGGGGATTTCACTTAATCCACAAATTGCTTTGAGCACTATGGTCATTTTAACAATATTAATTTTGCTGATCCATGAGTATGGATGTCTATCATTTGTTATTGTCCTCTTCAATTACTTTCATCAGTGTTTTATAGTTTTCCTTGAGGAGATATTTCACACCCTTGGTTAAATTTATTCCAATGTGTTTTTTGTAGCTATTGTAAATAGAATTGCCTTCTCGATTTCTTTCTTACCTAGTTCATTATTGGTATACACAAACATTATTGATTTTTGTATGTTGATTTTGCATCCTGCAACTTTACTAAATTTATTTATCAAATCTAGAAGTTTTTTAATGGAGTCTTTAGTTTTTTCTAGATATAAGATTATATAATCAGCAAAGAAGCACTATTTGACTTCCTCTTTTCTAACTTGGATGTTTTTTATTTATTTTCCTTGCCTGCTTGCTCTAGATAGAACTTCAACTACTAGGTTGAACAGGAGTGTTGAAAGCAAGCATCATCATCTTGTTCCAGATCTTTAAAAAAGGATTTTAACTTTTCCTCATTCAGTACGTTAGCTATGGGATATTCACATATGAGTTTTATTATATTGAGTTATATTTATTATATATATTTATTCTATTCCTAGTTTTTTGAGAGGTTTTACTATGAAGGAATGTTGAATTTTATAAAATGGTTTTTCTGCATGTTTAAATGATCATATGTTTTTTGCTAATTCTGTTGATGTGACATTTATTGATTTGTGTATGTTGAATCTTCATTGTATCAGTGGTCTAAATCTCACTTGGTCATAGTCTCTTATCTTTTTGATGTGCTACTGGATTTAGTTTGCTAGTATTTTGTTGGGGATTTTCATGTTTTTGTTCATCAAAGATATTGGCCTATAGTTTTCATTTTTTGTTGTGTTCTTATCTGTTTTTGGTATCAGAGTAATGCTGGCCTCATAGAATAATTTAGGGAGAGCTTCCACCTCTTCAATTTTTTGGTGTACATTCAGGAGAACTGGGATGAGTTCTTTACACATTTTGTTGAATTCAGCCATGAATTCATACAGTCCTGGGCTTTTCTTTGTAGAGATTATTTTTATTATTAATTCAATCTTGTTACTCATTGTCTGTTCATGTTTTCTATTTCCCCTGATTTAATTTTGATATGTTGTATGCTTCTCAGAATTTATCAATTTCCTCTAGGTTTTTCAGTTTGTCAGCATATTTCTTCAAAATAGTCTCTGATGATGTTTTGTATCGCAGTCTTATCAGTTGTAATGTCTCCTCTTTCACTTTTGATTTATTGATTTTTGGCTTCTGTCTTTTCTTGGCAAGTTTAGTTAGTGTTTTACCAACTTTATGTTTTCATATAACTAATTTGTTATTTTAGTGATTTTTTGTATCTGTTTAGTTTATATTTTAATTCTGCTCTTATTTTCATTGTTTCTTTTCTTCTACTAATTTTGGATTTTTTTTTTTTCTTCAATTCCTTCAGGCGCATCATTAGGTTGTTTGTTTGAACTTTTTCTACTTTTTTGATGTAGTCATTTGTTGCTACAAACTTTACTTTTAGCACTGTTTTTGGTGTATTCAGTAGTTTTTATTATGTCGTGTTTCCATCTTCATTTATTTCAAGAATTATTTTTATTTTTATTTGTTCATTGAACCAATGATTTCACAGAAGCATGTTGTTTAATTTAAATGTATTTCTATATTTTCTAAAGTGTCTCTTTGTATTGCTTTTGAGTTTTATTTTATTGTAGTCTGAGAAGATACATGATATGATTTTAATTTTTAAAAATTTGTTGGGACTTACTTTGTTACCTAACTTATAGTCTATCCAGGAGAATGTTGCATGTGCTGATGAGAAAAATGTATATTCTCTAGTCATTGAATAAAATGTTTTGTAAATGTTTGTCAGGTCTATTTGGTCCAAAGTCCAGTTTAAGTCTAATGTCTCTGTATATATTCTGTCTAGATCATCTGTCTAATACTGAGAGTGGGATGTTAAAATATCCTTCTAGTTTTGTTTTGAAGTCTATCTTTCTCTTTAGATCTAGTAATATTGGCTTTATTTATATGGGTGCTCCAGTGTTGGGAGCATATGTATTTATAAATGGTATATTCTCTTGCTAGATTAACCACTTTATTATTATATAATGACTTTCCTCAATTTTTTTCTATTTTGACTTAAAGTCTGTTTTATCTGATATAAATGTAGGTACTCCTGCTTGCTTTTGGTTTTTATTTGTGTGAAATATGTTTCCATTCCTTTATGTCTCTATGTATCTTTATAGGTAAGGTACGTTTCTTGTAGGCAGCATATACTTAGATAAACTTTTTTTTAAAAATGTGTTTTATGAGACTACATCTTTTAAGATGAGAATTTATTCCGTTTACTTTCAAGGTTATTATTGATATTCAAGGTTTTGTTTTTATCATATTATTAATTGGTTTCTAGTTGTTTTTATATTCTTTGTTTCTTACTTTTTCTCTGATTATTTTTTATTGTGGTTTCGTGGTTTAATGTACTAGTTCCATTTGAGTCTTTTCTCCTCCTCATTTGCCTGTTTGATTTACCAGTGAATTGTACACATTGAGTGTGTTCTCATGATGGTAATTGTCTTTTCACTTCCAAGTTCAGGTCTCCCTTGAGAATGTCTTGTAGAGACAGTGTAATGATGATGAATTCTCACAGGATTTGCTTGTCTTGGAAAGACTTTATTTTTCCTTCATTTATGAAGGATAATTTTGCTGGATATAGTATCCTTGAGTGGCAATTTTTCTCTTTCAGCACTTGGAATATGTTATCCCATTCTTTCCTTACTGGTTAGGTTTCAGCTTGGACATCTGCTTTTAGTCTAATGGGAGCTCCTTTATAGGTAAATGGATGCTTTGCTTTTGCTGGTTTTAGAATCCTCTCATTATCTTTGACTTTAGGCAGTTTGACTATAATGTGCCATGGAGAAGATCATTTTTGCATTATATTAGTTTGGGTATCTTTGTGCATCCTGTATCTGAATGTTTAAACCTTTTGCTAGACTTGAGAACTTTTCATCTATTATGTTGTTAAATAGGTCTTCTAAGCCTTTTATTTTTTTCACCCTAGAGAACATCAATAATTTGAATATTCAGTTACTTTATGTTGTCCCAAATGTCATGAAGTCTTTGCTCATTATTTTAAAAATTTTTTAAATTTATTTTTTATCTTACTACATAATTTCAAAGCTTTTTTTCAAGTTCTGAGATTCTTTCTTCTGTTTGATATATTCAATTGTTCACTATTTCAAAGGTATTTTATTTTTCATTCAATAAATTTTCATTTGCAGAATTTCAATTTTTTTAATGATCTCTTTGGTAAGTTTCTCATTCATATAGTCAATTGTTTTACTGATTTCTTTGTATTATTTCTCAGAATTCTTTTATATTTTGTTGAGCTTTAAAATCAATATTTTGAACTCTTTGTGAAAGATTTTGTGAATTTATTTTTTATTGATATTTTGCTGGGGAATTATTGTGGTCCTTGGGAGGTGTCATATTTCCTTGCTTTTTTAATGTTTTCTGTGTTCTCACATTGATCTCTGTGTATGTGTGTGACAGTGATCCTTTCAATTTTTTAAATTTGTTTTCTTAAAGGAGATCTTTTTCCTGAAGATGTTTGTATAGTGTTGGTTAGGTAGTGCACTTTGGCTTTTATTTTGGATGCATACAGCAGTGTAGTCTCTGTATCTTTTTTGGGGGGGGGTTGTAAACAGCATCATTTGTATCTGTGGTTTTCTTGGGGGCTTAGTGTATGTTAGTAGTGGAGGCTGTGAAGAGGTTTTACTGGGGATTGGGAAGTCAGGTGGGCCAGTCTATGGGTCTCAGTTGTGGCAGTGGTGGGATGAGTATGCCAGTCCTTGAGCCCCAGAGCAATGTATTCTGACTCTGCTATTAGTGAGTCCAGGCCTATTCCTGGGCCTCTGGCAGTGGTATCAGTAGGCCAAGCCTGTGGACATGTTCTCAGATCTCTGGGCAGAAGGCATGCTGTCAGCAATGGAAGTGAAAGTGTCGGGGCAACCCAGTGTAACCCACATGGTCCAACCTGGTGTTCATGGAAGTGATGGGTTGGGTGAGCCAGGACCCTAAATCACAGGTGGCATGTGAATTTGGGAGCCAGCTGTGTAGGTACTGGCATGTTTGTTTGGCCCAATATCAGACCCTGAGAGGAGTACTTAGGTGCCGAGTGTAGTGGACTGGATTGAGCAATCCTCAGGTCTCTGAATGACATGCTTGCATTCTGGGGGTATTAGATCAGTTGATGGACTTGTCCTCAGACCCCCCTGGTAGAATTCTCAGGTGTTGGCTGTAATATGTAGTGGTGGGGTGGTCCCCAGTCCACTGGTGAAATGCTCAGGTGGGGCAGTGGCAGCTGCGCTGCAGGCCTGCCATCAGGGAGGATGGAGTCACTCTCAGTGGGAGCAGCATAAACAGGAAGTTTTGAGGCACATGGTTTGCTCATGCTTTGGTCCCATAGAAGCCCTCAGCAGAATCTGTTGGTGGTATTTGTCTTTGGGGTGCATGACAGTGTCCGGCCTTCTGCTTTTCTCCTTTGCCCAATGGCAAGAAGGGTGGTGTCAGCCCTAGGGAAGGACTTACTCATTTGAGGGCTGGCCTTTCAGAATCCCTTTAGCATATTCTTATAGGGACAGCTTAATAATAAAATCCCTTAGCTTTTGTATATCTGGGAATGTATTCATTTCTCCCTTGCATGCGAATCACTGTTTAAGTAGATATAGAATTCTTAGTTGACATTTTATTTTCCTTTCAGTACTTTAAATATATCATTCCATTACTTTCTTGCCTGAAAGATTTTAGCTGAAAAATCTACTAATAAACTTACCGTATATTTCTATTATGTGATCAATCACTTTTTTCTTGCTGCTTTCAAAATAATCTCTTTGTCTTCTGACAGTTTGATTATAGTGTATGTTGGTGTGGGTTTCTGTGTTTATCCTACTTTCAGTTTATTGATACTCCTGGATTCTTAGATTGGTGTCTTTCTTAGAATTTGGGAAATATTTAGCCATTATATCTACAAATAAAATCTTTGCCCTGTTTTCTTCCTCTTCTCCTTCTGGGAATTTCATAATGCATATTTGTATCTTCTTGATGGTGTCATGTAAATCTTTCAGACTCTGTTACCTTCTTCTTCTGTTTTAGACTCAATAATTTTATATAATTAGTCTTTAACTTTTCTGATTCTTCTGCCTGTTTGAGTCTGCTGTTTAATTGCCGCAGTTAATTTTAAAATTCACTCATTTTATTTTTCAGCTTTAAAATTTCTTCTTGTTTTTTTTTCTTTTTTGATTTTAATTTTTGGAGATGGAGTCTTGCTTTGTCAACCAGGCTGAAGTACAGTAGCACAATCATAGCTTACTGCCGACTTGAACTTCTTGGCACAAGTAATCCTCCAACCTCAGCGTCCCATGCAGCTAGAACTATAGTCATACACCAGCATGCCCAGCTATTTTTTTTAGAAGTTTTTTCTAGAGACTGTGTCTTGCTATGTTGCCCATGCTAGTCTCAAACGTCTGGCCTCAAGTAATCCTCCCATTTCATCCTCCTGGTTCTTTTTTCATAATTTATATCTCTGTATTGATGTTGTAATTTTGTTTCTATATATGTGTATATATATATTTATATTTCTGATTTTCTTTAGTTCTTTGTGTTTTTCTTTGGCTCTTTAAACATATTTAAGATGGTTGTTTTCAAGTCATTGTCTAGTGTCCCGTGCCTGTGTTTATTCAGGGACAGTTTTGAAAATTTATTTTACTTTTCTTGGGTATATTTTTCTCTTTCTTTGTATGCCTGCAATCTTCTTCGGAAAGCTGAATATATTAAAAAACCACCAATTCTCACACTTTTTGCAGACCGGTAGAGAAGGCCTTTACTAATTAGTTGGGTCCTGAGTCTTGTGATAAGCCTGGGGCAAAGGCTTAAGGTCTTCTCAGGTCTTTTCTGGGCATCAATTTCCCCTGGGATCGCATGTGTGCTTTTTTTCCACCAATTTCTTCTGTGTACCAGTCTGCTTTAAAATGTTTTAATTTCCCAAAGAGCTTAATTACATCTTCTTCTTATGACCTTAGATGTTCTATTTCATTCCTCTGCTTATAATCTTGTACCCAGAGGTCAGTGGGTCTTCTGTCTTCATGTGGTTCTCATGTTCTGGAGCACCTGCCAATGCCTTTCATTGGTTCTATAAGACTGAAATCCAAAGAATGCTGACATTTTCCATCTAAGCTCTGAATCAGTTGAGATAGAAACAAAACTTCATGCAGCCCACGGAAAGGTGACAATGTTGTAAACATGTTTCACTTTGCTACTTCCATTCCATGAAATAAAACTGGGAAATGGGCTGCTTTCTTCTGACTGCCATGCCAGGGAGGGTGTGGGGAAAGGGAGAGTAAAAGTGCCACAAAAACCATTTTGAATGTGGCTTCTTATTTGTGTTTTGTTTGATTGCTCTAGATGTTTTAGTAGTTTTCAGAGCTCCTATGAAGTTGTTTCAATGTCTATAGGTTTTTAAAAATATTTATGTGGGGGAATGAGCACCTGTAGCTTCCAGGTCTGCCATCCTAAATACATGAAAATATCCATTTTCAGATTTTTCACTCAAGTGATATCTTGCATAACAGTCAGTAAAGCATAACAATAGCACTTTAGATTGTTCTTAATAGCTTAATGCAAAAATATTGCTCATAAAGCCAATTATAAAAACAAGGAAGTTGAAGTCAATCTTTTCTTTCCTTTTTTTTTTTTTGAGACGGAGTTTCACTGCTCAGGCTGGAGTGCAGTGGCGTGATCTTGGCTCACTGCAACCTCCGCCTCCCAGGTTCAAGCCACTCTCCTGCCTCAGCCTCCTGAGTAGCTGGAATTACAGGCGCTTGCCACAACGCCCAGCTTATTTTTGTATTTTTGTAATAGTGACGAGGTTTCACCATGTTGGCCAGGCAGATCTCGAACTCCTGACCTCAGATGATCCACCTGCCTTGGCCTCCCAAAGTGCTGGCATTACAGGCGTGAGCCACTGCGCCCAGCCCGTTGAAGCCAATCTTTAACATGTTGGCAATTTTTAAGTTCTGAACACAGAAGTTAAAGACCTGTAGTTCTCTGTGATTGTTAGTATATGCTCAGATTTTCAGGTTTTTTCACTTGGTAATTATTTTTTTATTTCTGTCAAGAATTCAACACAGCTAAATGACTTAGAAAATTTTTCTCATCTTTTCCTTTTATGGCATAGCTGCTTTATTTTGGGGAGTAGGGGGCAACGTAAAGTTCTTGTCCTTGGATTGTATCTCCTCTCTTGTTTTAATGGCTCCTTTTTTATATATATATAATTTCCATCGTGTTAGCTTCTCCCAAGTTAAGGTCTTAATTTCTGCAGCTTTTGGGTGGCTATATGTTGTTCTTCTCATTATTTTCTTAGTGTAACAATAACTTCTTCTTATCTTACCACTATAGAAAAAACTGCTCTCAGCAGCTACCACTTTATTGCACCCTATCTTATATACACTGTTGTATCCAAGTCTCATCTTGCTAGATATACTGTAAGTAATGATTTCTTTTTAAAATATTTTCTAATATTCAGCACACTACTATGACTATTGTAGTGAACAATTGTTTATTACTATCATATTATTAGTGAGGTATTCTGCTATGCACATTTTTAATATATTATTTAGACATTTTTCTCTTCATAATGCAGACAGACAACTCAAGCCAGGAGAGGCTAAGTGACTTGACAAATGGCACTTCCTGACTAAGTCTAGCTGACTATAAAGCTGGTTTTGTTAATAAACTTTCTAAGCTAGGTCTCAGATAAGTACTCAAATATTTATTCTTTGTTATCTTATTTAACCAATTAAAAAAACAGCAACCAAACACACACACACACACACACACACACACATACACACACACGCCAAGTTAAAATTTCTTCAAATAAAAAAGCACCATATTAATGTGTGAAAGTCTAACTTATGAACAGTTGTATCTTCAAGTTGATTTTAATTGTGAAATTGAGATAGAGAAGGTAGAACATTGCTTAGCAAGGCCATCTGCTTCTCTCATTTGCACTGGCTTTTCTCTTTCCTCATATATCAGAGACCATGTGTGTGTGGGCATGTGATACTCCCTGAATACAAAAGCTTCATAAGGAGCTTTTAATGGAAAAAAGTTAACATTTTCCTAACATAAAATATAACTGATGCTTCATTAGTCCAGGCTTTTGGGGCCTAGGTTAATCTCCCAATCTCCTGCAATGCATGCAAATCCTATGATTTTACAGACTTACAAATTTATGAATATGATTTATAAGGACATTTGATTACTTATTGAAGATCTCATTATATAAGGAAACATACATGAAAAATTCTTATTATACTATCAACTGCAGGAAATATACAGGACAGTGGAACATGTGTACTATGGGAATGTGATCTGCAAAATCTGTGCTGTAGGATATTACAGAAAAAATAATCCAGTATCTTCAGTTACACAGAGGAAAAAGAGAAGGAAATAGAAGCCTATTGATTGAAAGAGACTTAAAGGAAATATGAAAGTAGGTAAAACCAAATTGGACTGTTTAGTGATAAAAACTTATAGGATAAGACTGTAGTCTTAGACTACAGACTTTGTAGTCTTATAAAGAAAAGTAAGGAAGTGATAAGTGCAGGTTGAGGAACTCTAATCCAAAAATCTGAACTCCAAAATGCTCCAAACTCCTAAACTTTTTGAGTGCAACATAATACCACAAGTGGAAAATTTCATACCTGACCTCATGTGACAGGTTACAGCCAAAGCAAGTCAAAACTTTGTTTCATGGACAAAATTATTACAGTCAGCTGCAAGTATTTGGCTTTATTTCTGGGTTCTCTATTTTGTTCCATTGGTTTACATGCCTATTTTTACACCAGTACAATACTGTTTTGTTAACTATGGTCTTGTAGTATAGTGTGAAGTCCAGTAATGTGATGCCTCCAGATTTTTATTAGTCTTGCTTTGGCTATTCAGGCTCTTTTTTGGTTCTATAATTTGTTGTTTTTTCTAGTTCTGCGAAGAATGATAATGATATTTTGATGGGAATTGCACTGAATCTGCAGACGGCTTTGGGCAGGCAGTATGGTCATTTTCACAATATTGATTCTACCCATCCATGAGCATGGCATGTGTTTCAATTTTTGTGTGTGTCATCTATGATTTATTTCAGCAGTGTTTTGTAGTTTTCCTTGTAGAGATCTTTTACCTCCTTGATTAGGTACATTCCTAAATATCTCTCTCGTTTTTTTTTGCAGCTGTTGTAAAGGTGATTGAGTTCCTGATTTGATTCTCAGCTTGGTTGTTGTTGGTGTATAGCAGTGCTACTGATTTGTGTACATTGATTTTGTATCCTGAGACTTTAGTGAATTTGTTTATCAGATTTAGCAGCTTTTTTGATAAGTCTTTAGGATTTTCTAGGTATATGATCATATCATCAGTGAACAGCAACATTTGACTTCCTGTTTACTGATTTAGATGCCCCTTATTTCTTTCTCTTTGTCTGATTGCTCTGGTTAGGACTTCCAGTACTATGTTGAATAGAAGGGGTGAAAGTGGGCATCATTGTCTTTTTCCAGTTTTCTGGGGGAATGCTTTTAACTTTTCCCCATTTAGTATAATTGGCTATTAGTTTGTCATAGATGGCTTTTATTACCTTGAAGTATGTCCCTTCTATGTGAATTTTGCTTAGGGTTTTAATCATAAAGGATGCTGAACTTTGTCAAAGGCTTTTTCTGCATCTATTGAGATGATCATATGATTTTTGTTTTTAATTCTGTTTATGTGATGTATCACATTTATTGACTTGTGTACATTAAAGCATCCCTGGTATGAAGCCCACTTGATCATGGTGTATTATCTTTTTGATATGCTGTTGGATTTGGTTAGCTAGTATTAAGTTGAGGATTTTTGCATCTATGTTCATCAGGGATATTTGGTCTGTAGGTTTCTTCTTTGGTTATGTCTTTTGCTGATTTTGTATTAGGTTGATACTAGCTTCATAGAATGATTTAGAGAGGATTTCCTCTTTCTCTATATTTTGAAATATTTTCAGTACAGAAATAAGATCAGTACAATTATTTGAATGCCTGATAGAATTCAGCTATAAATCCATCTGGTCCTGGACTTTTTTTGTTGGCAATTTTAAAATTACTGTTTCAATCTCACTACTTGTTACTGGTCTGTTAAGAGTTACTATTTTTCTTGATTTAATCTAGGAGAGTTGTATATTTCCAGGAATTTATACACCATCTCTAGATTTTCTAGTTTGTGCATGTAAAGGTGTTCATAGTAGCCTTGAATAATCTTTTGTATTTCTGTGATATCAGTTGTAATATCTCCCATTTCATTTCTAATTCAGCTTATTTGGATAGTTTATCCTCCTTTCTTGGTTAATCTCGCCAATGGTCATTCGATTTTGTTTACCTTTACTAAGAACAAGCTTTTTGTTTCATTCATCTTTTGTATTTGTTTGTTTCAATTTTGTTTAGTTCTGCTCTGATTTTGTTATTTCTTTTCTTCTGCTGGGTTTGGGTTTGGTTTGTTCTTTTTTCTCTAGATCTTTGAGGTGTGACCTTATACTGTCTATTTGTGCTTTTGCAGACTTTTTGATGTAGGCATTCAAGGCTATGAACTTTCTTCTTAGCACTGCTTTTGCTGCATCCCAGAGTTTTTGATAAGTTGTGTCACTATTATCATTCAGTTGAATATTTTTAATTTTTATTTTAATTTTATTGTCGACCCAAAGAGCATTCAAGAGTAGATTATTTAATTTCTGAGTATTTGTAGAGTTTTAAGTGTTCTTTTTGGAGTTAATTTTCAGTTTTATTCCACTGTGGTCTGAGAGAATACTTAATATAATTTTGATTTTCTTACATTTATTGAGACTTGTTTTGTGGCCTATCATATGTTCTATCTTGGAGAATACTCCATATGCTGATGAAAATAATGTGTATTCTGCTGTTATTGTGTAGGAATGTTCTGTAAATATCTGTTAAGTCCATTTGTTCTAGTGTGTAGTTTAAGTCTATTGTTTTATATTGACTTTCTGTCTTGAACACCTGTCTAGTGCTTTCAGTGGAATATTGAAGTCACCCACTATTATTGGGTTGTCATCTATATCATTTCTTAGGTCTAGTAGTAATTGTTTTATAAATTTGGGAGTGCCAGTGTTAGGTGCATGTATATTTACGACTGTGATATTTTCTTGTTTGACTAATCCTTTTATCATTAAATAATGTCCCTTTTTGTCTTTTTTTACAGTTGTTGCTTTAACATCTGTTTTGCCTGATGTAATAAGAATAGCTACTCCTGCTTGCTTTTGATTTCCATTTTCCTGGAATATCTTTTTTCATTCCTTTACCATAAGTTTATATGAGTCCTTACGTGTTAGGTGAGTCTCTTCAAGACAGCAGATACTTGGTTGGTGGATTTTTATCCATTCTGTTATTCTGTATCTTTTAAGTTGAGCAATAAAGCCATTTACCTTCAACATTAGTATTAAGATGTGACATACTGTTCTATTCATCATGTGAGTTGTTGCCTAAATAACTTGTTTTTTAAAATTGTATTATTGTGTTATAGGCCCTGTGAGATTTATGCTTTAAGGAGTTTCATTTTGGTGTATTTCAAGGTTTTATTTGTTTCAACATTTAGAATTCCTTTTAATATTACTTGTAGTGTGGGCTTGATAGTGGCAAATTCTTCCAGCATTTGTTTGTCTGAAAGACTTTAACTCTCCTTCATTTACAAAGCTTAGTTTTGCTGGATACAAAATTCTTGGCTGACAATTATTTCATTTAAGGAGGTAAAGATTGGATCTCAAACCCTTCTGGCTTGTAAGGTTTCTGCTAAGAAATCTACTGTTGGTCTGGTAGGTTTTCCTTTATAGGTTACTTGATGTCTTTGTCTCACAGCTCTTAAGAGTCTTTCCTTTGTCTTGACTTTAGATAACCTGATGACTATGTGCCTAGGTGCTGATCTTTTTGCACCGAATTTTCCACATGTTCTTTGAGCTTCTTGTATTTTGATATCTAGATCTCTAGCAAGGCATGGGAAGTTTTCCTCAATTATTCCCTCAAAAAAGTTTTCCAAACTTTTAGATTTCTCTTCTTTCTCAGGAACACCAATTATTCTTAGGTTTGGCTATTTAACATAATCCCAAATTTCTTGAATACTTTGTTTATTTTTTGAAGTTTTTTTGTCTTTGCTTGGGTTAATTCAAAAGCCTTGTCTTTAAGCTTTGAAGTTCTTTTTTTCTACTTATTCTAGTCTATTGTTGAAACTTTCCAGTGCATTTCATGTTTCCCAAAGTGTGTCTTTCTCATTTCCAGAAGTTGTGATTGTTTATTCTTTATAACATCTCTTTCTCTGGAGAATTTTTCATCCATATCCTGTATTTTTTAAAATGTATTTAAATTGATTTTCCCCTTTCTCTGGTATCTCATTGAGTAGCTTGATAATCAACCTTCTGAATTATTTATCTGGCAATTCAAAGATTTCTTCCTGGTTTGAATCCATTGCTGGGGAGACAGTGTAATCTTTTGGGATTTCAATGGTGGAAACCTGTTTTGTTGTATTACCAGAATAACTTTTCTGCTTTCTCCTTATTTGGGTATACTTTTACTGTGGAAAGATATGGAACTCAAGGCCTGCTGTTCAGATTATTTTGTCCCATGGGGTGATCTCTTGATGTGATGTTCTCTCCTTCCTCTGGGGATGGGGCTTCCTGAGGGCCAGACTGCAGTGATTATTGTGGCTCTTCTGGGTCTAGCAACTTAATGGGGCTACTAGGCTCTGAGTTTGTGCTGGGGAATGTCTGCAACGGGTCCTGTGATGTGATCTATCTTCAGGTCTCCCAACTGTGGATACCAGCACCTGCTTTCATGGAGGTGACAGGGGAGTGAAGTAGATTCTGTGAGAATCCGTGATTGTAGATATTCTTAGTGTGCTGGCTTTCCTGAATGGTGGTTATTGTAGCAGTGAAGTGGTCACTTGGACAGACTCAGGAACTCTGGGTAGCCAGGATGTTGCAGTCAGTTGTATTAGCTGTTCATTTGTTCTTTCTGAAAGTAGGGTTATTCTGTCATGAGCTGCTGTAATGGCCTGAGTTCATTGGCCTCCAGCGAAGAGGTGGCACTTTCAAGAGAGTACGAGCTGCAGTAGTATTAGGGGGATATAAATTTGCCCTATGTTGGCCAAGGTAGGTATTCTGCTTTATCAGGTAATGGGTGGGGCCATAAAGCTCCCAAAAGTTTATGTCTTTTGTGTTAAACTACCAGGGTGGGTAGACAAATAGCATCAAGTGGGGTAGGTTAGGCTGGTATGAGCTCAGGCTCTCTTTGAGTGGGGCTTTCTGTGGCCACTGTGAGGGATGGGGGGTGGGCAGCAAGGTTGGCCTCGCTCCCACAGTGCCCTGCTAACACTGCTGAGTTTAGATCCAGGCAGACTGCATGCAGAACTCAGACCTTGCACCAGGCCATAAGCTTCCCTGCTGAGAAAGCAAGCATGGCTTTCAGGCCTCACTTCTCCCCATCTGCCCACAATGTCAGTGGTGGCTCTTGTGCTCCTATCTGTTGCATTTCCCATTCATCCTCTGGATTCTGCTCAAAAAGTTTGTGCCCCATAGAAATTAATTTTAAAAATCAGCTGGAGTCTTTTTTTACCCTGTGACCCCTTTCTAATTTCTCCGTCTGCCTTCCCCAAGGGCCCTGTGAGATATGTCAGGGATGGCTTCACTGGGCTTGAGCTGGAGACCGGAAGTGCCAACAACACTCTTCCTGCAGCTCCTTCTATTTTTATATATCACGTGGCTCCCTAAATTCGTTTTGGCTCTAGGTAAGGTTAAATCCAAATGGGAGCTGCATGTTGCCCTGTCTCCTATCTGCCATCTTTCCAACTTTTTTTGACTGATAGGTTTTATTTTTACATTACTTAAAAGTAACATTGACACTTTTTAGATTAAATTGACTTTTACGTTTTTTCATGGAGTCTTTCTTTTGCTAAATCCATGTTGCTAGTTCAAGAACAAAGTTTCTTAAGTGGCACATAGGTTTCATTTCTTATAAATCTACATATATTAATAGGTTGTTAAATAGCTTGTCAGTTTCACTGACACTTTTTTCCTATGTAAAAAGTTACTTCTAGAATACCACTGGGCATTGTAATGTACACATAATTCTGTCATTATATCTCACTTATATTACCCTTCAAAATAAGATGTGTATTTAATGTTCAAATAGATCCTGAGGAAAGAAACATACATTAATGTCTCCATCACGTTAGGAACCAAATCATTACCTTTTGAGTCATTGTCTTAGTATCTGCTGGTGAAACTGTCACTACCATGAGCATTATACTTTTGCATAAGAAGTCACATTTATGGCCGGGCGCGGTGGCTCACGCCTGTAATCCCAGCACTTTGGGAGGCCGAGGCGGGCGGATCACGAGGTCAGGAGATTGAGACCATCCTGGCTAACACGGTGAAACCCCGTCTCTACTAAAAATACAAAAAATTAGCCGGGCGTGGTGGCGGGCGCCTGTTGTCCCAGGTACTCAAGAGGCTGAGGCAAGAGAATGGCGTGAACCCAGGAGGCGGAGCTTGCAGTGAGCCGAGATAGCGCCATTGCACTCCAGCCTGGGCGACAGAGCGAGACTCCGCTTCAAAAAAAAAAAAAAAAAAAAAAAAGAAGTCACATTTATTTTATAAAATGTTTTCTAGTTCAGAATAGAAGTAAGCCTATCAGCTTCAGAATGTGATGTACTGTAGAAGCTCTTCCCTTTGGTTATAAAATATAAATATCCCTGATAAGATTAGTATTGCAATTAGTATTTAAAATCCCTAAGACCTAATACTTCTGTTTCATTTTGAAGAGCGTACGTAGATTAATAATACTGGTTATATTGACATACCTTTCTATAAGATGCATTATTGAAAAACCATAAGGAGTATCAAGGGAGTTACTAGTAAAGATCATTTAAAAGCTCATTAATCAACGATGTAGTAGATTATGAAAGCTCAAAGGAGTAATTTAGATAATAAGAACTAAGAAATGATAGCTAACCTGAACAAAACATAAGAATATACTGGAAAGAACAGTATGAACCTGCCTGTCTTTGAATTGGGTAACTTACTATGTTGGTTTCAACTCTACTTTCTATGACTAATTATACTGCATTTTGGATTGATCTGTACAAGGAATAGCTACCTGAATCAATGTTTCAATTTGGCATGGTAATGAAATGTGAAAAGTAAATCAATGTCTCTTTCTTGTATTATATATCCAACTCTAAAATGGTTATAGGGAATATGTCTATTCACTTAACGTAGGTCAGATAACTCACTTAGTATTATTTACATGGCAATTGCAATATAACTAAAAACAAAGAGACAATAGAAACTCAAGGTGAAACATGTTGCATAAAAAATATAAAAATAATTCTTTGCCAGCACACTTTTGATAAAGAAGTAAATGATTCACTGAACAGAGAACCTGAGTTCTGTCAAAACAAGATAGATAAAAATATTTTTTCTATAAAATTATGTTTTTATTTAATCAGCTTCTATTCCTGTGGTTCTTTATAGTACCTCATACCCAGTAAGGCCAAGGACATGTGTAGAGTTCTGATGTTTCTAAAACAATGGGTTCAGCTCTTTAAATACATAGTTTCATTACATAAGAGGGACTGCAACCAATTGGATAGTAGACACTCATAGCAATTAAGTGTGTATGAAAGTAGAAAAAGATAATTTAAACTTCTAATCATAAGCTTAAACTTGATGTAGTTGTGAGGCGGAATGCTAATAGAAAGCCACTATGTGTTGTGGACTTCTGTCCTCTATTTCACAAAGGCCTCATTGTGCTGTTCTTTCTCCAGAATTGTTGTTTGTCATGTTGAAAGCAAGATAAAGTAGTCCCTTTTTAAAAGTAATCTAAAGATATCAATCAAAGAAAATGTATACCTTCCATAGAAATTCTAGAAGCTGTATTTTTTTAACTTCTATAAAATTTCAGAAACCAAGTGAGAAAACTGTAATACTTTTTTTTCCTACTTACATAACTATTATAAAAAAGAAATTGCAAAATTCCAATATAAAATACATTTCTTTCTTTGGTGGAAATTGTATATTTCTAATCATATGAGCCTTAGAGGATTCAAAAGGTTTTCAATCATCTCCATATGAAAATACATTCTCTATTAACTTTAGTTAACTCAAATTACATGTTCTGCATTATTAGCCACAGTATACAACTCTCATCTGCTGTAACTAAATGATCATTCATTTCTTTCCGCTTTTGCTATGAATATACTCTTCCTGAAGGTAATGAAGATAGTGTCTACTTTGGTATTTGTTTGGGGTGGGATTGGGCCTGAAGATGACTATTTCATAGCTTTATTATTATGTTCTAATTCTCAAATGTATTTAAAGAAAAAAAATTGATAGATTATTGCCGAGCACACCTGAAAGTCCAGCTTTGGGATATGGACAAATTTTGATGTTAAGTCACTTGTTGCAAATCTTGTTTTATTTTCCTAAATTTCTCTGTTATTACACCATATGACATCGTTTTCTTGTCCTACTTTACCCATGAGCTGACAATACTAAGTCAAAACAATCAGCACTTTGGGAGGCCGAGGCAGGTGGATCACAAGATCAGGGGTTCAAGACCAGCCTGGCCAACATGGTGAAACCCCGTCTCTACTAAAAATATAAAATTATCCAGGCATGGTGGCGCACCTGTAGTCCCAGCTACTCGGGAGGCTGAGGCAGGAGAATTGCTTGAACCCAGGAGGCAGAGGTTGAATGAACGGAGATTGCGCCACTGCACTCCAACCTGGGCGACAGAGCGAGACTTTGTCTCAAAAATAAAAAATCAATACTTGTAATTAATTATTAAATAGCGCAAGAGAAACTTTCAAAAACTAGAAACTGTGATTTCCCAAAATTTCTCAGCTCTGTTTGCTTGTTATATTCTGTTTTACTCCAGGCATTTAACTTTTTAGATTCCCAGTGTAGGTTTCTTCAGAATCCTCATGAAACTGCTGACAGTTCAGAAGAAATAGGAAGAACAACCAAACTCACCACATAGCATTGAGCTTAATGAATCCTCTGGTTAAAAAAATATATACCTTAAAACTTGAGAATTAAAATCATATTTCTAAAGAGGAGCCAGGTTAAAATGCATAGTTCCTTTTAGAGAACACCTAGTAACATTTTACTTCCTTTTCTTTTTTCAGTAATAACTTTTTTATATTTTTGCATTAGTAGACTTCTTGGGAATGCTGAAATTCTCAAGAGTCTTGAGTAAAGGAAAAATTAGGCTACTGTCTAAATAGATGTGATAAGGTTGTATTTTCATAATATTAAAGTGACCATAGGCAGATACCACAAACTGCCATTATAATTTACGGTAATTACTACAATTGAATAATCATATTCTGAAAGATTGAAAGTAATAAGAATCACCATTTACTGTAAAACTGCTATGACGTAGCCAGTATAACCCATAAATTAGGTGCTTTATATATGCTAACTTATTGAACTTTCCATCAAATCTACAAGGAAAGCATGATTATTCTATCTAATCCAGGGTTGTAAGAGCAACTGTACTCGGATTGGCAAAATAGATCTATCTACAATTTTAATTAATTTAGTCTTAAGGCGTTTTCATCAGAATTAAGGGAAATATTTTAAATGCTTAAATGGTAGAGCTCTGGAGTCAAAGCTGCTTTGTTTAGGTATTCTCCCATGTTCTCTAAGATGAGGCAAAGTTGCAATTCTGTGTCACTCTGAATTTCTTCAGTTTTTAAAGTGTATTCTCTGAGTCTTCGCTCCAGGTCAGAATAACATAGATAGTTTTGTTTATAATAGATACAGATGGTCCTACCCAAGAGACTCTAATTCTGCAGCTGTGAAGGTGCCCTGAGATGTGTCCTTGGAACAGAGCTGTCATGATAAATAGCTGGTACAGAAAACAATAGTATTACCAGAGCCAGCTGTTGATAATCTATACTCCAATTTTTGTGTAATATTTTGCACAGTCCTATGGTCCATATTTTCTCAAGTTATTGTCCACAGGACTCTAACAACAGAAATCTTGGACTACTATTATAAAATACTGATTGTTGAGACTCAACTCAGACCCACAAATTCAGACATTGTGGGAAGAGAAGAACCTAAGAATCTGTATGTTGAATAAGCCACACAGTGATTTTTAAACCCTCCTAAGTTTGAGAACAATTAATTTAGTTAAAAGTGTGAATTTAAAGTCAGACGAATTTGGATTTGAATCCCAATTTTATTTCTCATCTTTTCCCAAAGCCACTACCACTCTCACGTGTCATTGCAAGCTATCTGAACACACTGATCTTTTTTTTTTTTTTTTTTTTTGAGGCGGAATCTGGCTCTCCCGCCCAGGCTGGAGTGCAGTGGCCCGATCTCAGCTCACTGCAAGCTCTGCCTCCCAGGTTCACGCCATTCTCCTGTCTCAGCCTCCCGAGTAGCTGGGACTACAGGCGCCCGCCACCACGCCCGGCTAATTCACACTATCTTTTAAAATACCTCCCTCCTGCTTATATAAGGCTATACTTACTAAAAAGCTCTGGGAAGTATGTTTTTATTATCTAGTACTTCTGGAAAAAAAGAAAGTCCCTTCAATGGATATTGTCAATATTGCTATACCCTACCATCACCTATGCCACCAGTGTGAGGTTGTTAAAATGATAGATTATTTTGCTTTATTTTCCCACAAATTTATTGCCAGAACATATTACCCAATCTTTCTTCCAAAACATGGTTGGGATTTGTACACTGACTAAATAGAACTCTGATGCTGACATTTCTTTGATGTCTTTGCTTACATTATATTTTAAAAGGCGACGTAGACAAATTTATTAAAAATATAAGCGTTTTGTTCCTCTGTTGGCCCAGTCATAAGAGAAACTATTAGCTTAATAGATTGTCATGGAGACTAAAAATATAATTAACATTTATATGAACATCTGCTTTGAAAGCACTGATGGAATTTTGTAGAGTGTTCAGATTGCCATTTAACATGATGATTCAGTTTTCAAACTCGGATGGGACAACACCCCAGCTAGAAAAGATGACTCAAGAATTAGAGACAGTGTTTTTCAAAGTGTGGCCGAAAGTGAACCAGGCGCTTCAAAAAATGCAAAATCATGGGCCCCTCTCCAAGTCAGAGGGAACCTAGCGAGTCATAGGGAATCGCTGTAGACTGGGCCTGGAAACATGCATTTTCACAAGCAGGTACAAGGAACATTATACTGTGAGGATGGCTGGACAGGGCAAACAGCATGGATATCATCACTGAACTTGGGCAAAGTCCCAGCTCTTTCAGTTCCTAGTTGGGCCCACGGTGCATATCCTCTTGTGTGTCACACTCCTCCTTGCTGTGACCTTTTTCTCCCTCTGTTATGTGACTATCTCCCACCTTCACAAGTTTAGTTTGCTTGTTTCCTGTTCTCCTCTTCTCAGCCAGGAAAAGCCCCTCAGTAGGTTTATTACCACCAGTCACTCACTGCGTCTATCTTCTGAACATGTGCAGAGCACTTATCCAACTGCCAGCCCTTTGGTCATGCATCCTGTCCCATACTTCCCAGCTCAGCTTCCTGGCCTGACATGGCTTCTGGTCCTTCTCCTTGGTTATGGTTACCATCAGGTTGCTGCTAAGTCTTCTGACCTTTCAAAGGCACTGTATTGGGTATTTTGTAATTCACCCAGTTCTAGCCCTTGTACATTGAACTAAAGGAGCTCTAAAGTTTTATTTCAAAGCAAGACTTCAGTGCCAAACTTCTAGCCTCTGCTCGTTTTCTACTCGGCAGCTCCATTCCAGCTCTCTTCCCACATACCCTGATTCCCACTGCCAATGCCTCTCCATACGGCTCCAGTCCCACAATGTAGGGCAGAAGAGATCACATGATTCATGAGTGGCTGTCATGGATCAGGGATGCCTTCACAAGTAGCACAATTTAAGCCTGGCTTTGGAGGACAAGTGGGATTTCCACAGGCAGATATAAAGGGACTAGACATTTCCAGTGGTGCTTATTTAAAGTGCAGATACTTGCACCTCTCCTCAAATCTACTGATTCAGAATTCTAAGGGTGAGGCCAGATGATCTGCATTTTTATAAACTTCATGGGCATTTCTGTTGAATATAATGATTGATAACACTGTTCTAGCTGACAAGTATTTTTAGAGGCTATAGCAGGGCATAAGAGCACTGATATTACAAAATACTGAGAGCTGATAAAGTAGATAATATTTAAACTTATCAAAATAACTAAAGCCCTGTCCTGATCTTAAGGCAGTCTTTAGTCTTTGATGAGAATGCAAATTTTTGATGAATTTATATATCTATTTATATATATATATAGACACACACATATATACATATACATAAACATAAATACATAAATAGCTAGATACATGAATATTGATACACATGCATATGTGGAATAGTGTAAAAATATATATTTTGAGTTCCTGGGAACAATCATATCCTAGTAGTCACCAGCACATTCATTGTTCAGATCTTTGATTCTAAATACCATTCTCCAATAAAAGAAACTAGGGTTCCTTGGAGAAATGGCTGATTCCAGGAATGGAAGAGTAAAAATAAAAGATTAACTTGAAGAATCTTATTGTGCCAACAACAACAAAAAAGGCTTGAAAATTAAACGATAAGGGCATGTCCAAATGACACAAAAGCCAACCTGAAAGAGTTCCCAATTGCCAAGACTGAAACAATGTAAGAAACATAGTAATCAACAATATTATTGGCATATAACCCTAATAATAAATATCCATGAGTCCATACTGCAATTAATAAATGTTTTAATAATTAAGTAAATGGGGAAAATGGGCAGATATTCTTTGTAGGATAATTCTGACTAATAAATGTAGAAAGAATGGGAGAAATAGGAAAGCACCATTAAAACACCACAGTGATAATTACCACAGGCAAGATCCACAGGTGAATGATGCAATCAATAGGGAAAACTTTGAGAAACATTTTGTTTGCATAGCCTCAAAATACTCCCCCCAACACAAAAATATTTACTAACTTCTGTAGTGGTTTGAACATACACTCCAAATATATCTGATACTCCTCCCCAAAGGAGGTAGAACTTAATTCACCTTCCTTGAATATGTACTGGACTTAGTGTCTCCCTTCTAATAAAGTATAGAAAGAGAAAAATGTAATTTTACATTGGACGATTCAGGTAAACATCATCTAAAGTAAGTATCAAGTTTAGCTTCACAAATAATAATTAATTTTGATAGGTAAACCAAATATAATGTGACAGCAAAGGAGATATTCCATCTCTGTTCTTGTTCCCAATAATCTATAATGTCAGGCTAATCATAAGACAACACCAGACAAATTGAAAATTGAGTAACACTGTATTAAATACCTAACCATTATTCTTCAAAAGTTTCACAGTCATGAAAGACATGGAAAGACTGAGGAAGTATCACAGATTGGAAGAGGCTAAGGAGACATGTCAACCAAATGTAAAATGGGACACTGGATTAGATCTTTGAACAAAGAAAGGGCACTAGTAAAATTTTAAAAAACTAGTATAATATGAATAGTTTGCTGTTTAGTTAATAGCAACATACCACTGCTAAATTCTTAGTTTTGATAAATGTACCCTGATTATGTAAGCTTCTGTTAAAGTTAACAGAAGCTGGGCAAAGAGTATACAGGAATTTTGTATGCTGTCTTTACAACTCTCATGTAAACCTACAATTATTTTGAAATAAAAAGCTAAAAAAGCATTATAAGCCAATGATGCAATAGACTACTTCTCAGTAATTAAAAAAAAACTATTGATGCATGCAACAACATGGATGGATTTTCTTTTTATTGTTGTTGTTATTATTTTTTATTTATTTTACTTCAAGTTCTGGGATACATGTGCTGAATGTGGAGGTATGTTACCTAGGTATACATGTGCCATGGTGGTTTGCTGCACCTATCAACCCATCATCTAGGTTTTAAGCCCTGCATACATGTAGGACAAATTCATGTTATCTAGTTGAGGGATTCACTGTAGAGAGGTGAAGATCCCCTCAGTCTTTAACTTAAGAGGTGAATGCTGGGTAGCTTTACAGTGATATTATAGTGCATTAGGACAAATACCTAATGCATGCAGAGCTTAAAACCTAGATGACGGGTTGATAGGTGCAGCAAACCACCATGGCACACCAAGATCTGTGCTTAATGAAAGAAGCCAGACCCAGAAGAAAATTCCATTGATAAGAAGTTCTGCAATGAGAACACATGGACACAGGGAGGGTAACATCACACACCAGGGCCTGTCAGGGGGTGGGGGACAAGGGGAGGGAGAGCATTAGGACAAATAACTAAAGCATGCGGGACTCAAAACTTAGATGACGGGTTGATAGCTGCAGCAAACCACCAGGGCACATGTATACCTATGTAACAAACCTGCACGTTCTGCACATATATGTCAGAACTTAAAATAAAAAATAAATAAACAAATAAGAAGTTCTAGAACAGGTTAAATAATATGTATTTATGGAAATCAGAATAGTGGTTGCTGTTGGGGGTGAGAATTGATTGAATAAAAATAAGAGAGAACTTTCAGGGGTGATTGGAATGTTTTATATCTTGATTCAAGTGCTGGTTACATGTGTGCTTATGTCTGTCAGGAGGGATCATCTGTTCTCGTGGGATATTTGAATTTCACTTTATGTAAATAGTATATCCTTAGAATGGATTAGATGCCTTGCTTTTAGCAAAATGTGAACCCTACAAAGTGTTAGGATGGTTGAAATTGATATTTATTGCCGTATCTTGCCTGTAAGTCAATTTTTTAACATCAATTAGTAAGCATCATCTACTCCCCACAATTTCTATATTGTTGGTCAATAGAAAATAGACTCCCATGGCAGTATTCACACTTCACCAGTCTATTGAACTTATTTCAACTACGTGTATTCTATTGTGTTTCCACTCTCAGGCTCATTCATGGATTTCTATTCAGATGAATGCTTTCTGAGCATTCACTTCATTTCTTTTAATTTTTTCCCTCATAGCCCTATTGTAATCTATCTTACCAAATAATTGCTTTATCCACCAAATCATTATAATAAAATGTCAAGTTCACTTGGCTAACTGTATATCGAAAGTCACCATCATTTGCAATAGTTTGTGCAAGAATTATGTTAGGAGACTAAGGAGTTTCATATATATGACACATATTCAGGCCATAACGGCCTTGCAAATTTTAGCTTTTCAGTTAAATAGTTGTGTATGTGAGGATGCCATGCTTTTTTAAATATGGTACAATAAAACCACATTGTAAGATGCAGTAAATCAGCATCATTATTATTTACATTCTTATGTGCACTTGAAAATATCTCAATAGAATGTTGCAATGACTCAGCAACAATAGGAATCATGACATTTCTTTGACAATTTAATTTTAATGTGTCATTAATTTTCAGATATGCGTTTAGTTAAAAACAATTAATGCTTAATTGCAGCATAACCTGAATAATTTAGAAATGCAAATTAGTACAGAAAGCAAACGTGTGTGTTCATTAATTTCTTTGATATCACCATCTGTTTAATTTAAAAATTGCATTTTGCTGAATGACAGCTTGCTAACTGTATAAATGGTTTTCTGAATGGAAAATATCTATTGCAATGGAGGTCAGCATCTGATAAAATTTAAGTTTGTACATAATTGTGTTATATAAACAAATTAGACTATTTTCGAATTTGAGAAAATTTATGAGAAATTTATTGAGAATTTATGAGTTTTTTTATTTTTGAGAAATTTTTGACAAAATTATTGACAATATATATAATTTTATATAGTAGAAAACATAACTTTATCATTTAAAGAAAAATACTGCTCATTAGACAAAATACAACAATTATAATGCACTGCTGCAATTTTAAACTTTAGGATTTTCAGTTACTTTATTATTTGTTTTCCTTTTGTTTTTATTTTTGCATAATTAATTTTTATGTATTTATTAAATTATAACTAGAAAGTGGATATTAAAATTTTAAACCTGGAAGGAAGAAAGAGCAATAAGTGGTTTTAGATTCTTGTGATTTTAAAACTATAGATTATGTAATTGAAGATATTTGAAACCTTGTGGAAATTATTCATACCTTGGGGATTCTTTCTAACTCATACTCTTTTAAGAATCAAAGTAGAAATAAATTGTCTTGCAGGTTTGTGATGTATAAAATAGGGGGATTTTTTGAAAAGAACCCAGAAGCATTAAACAGAAGCAGATATTTCTTATCAGTGCTGTATTGTGTATCATTGATCTTGTTAATGTTATAAAACAATCAGAGTTTTAAAATTACTATGAAATTAGAACATGCATATTATAAAAATTGACATAGCAAATACACATAAATTAGATCAAGTCCATAAAAATGTCACCATACATATTATACATGTAGTATGCGTATATGTGTATGTGTGCACATGCACATGGACAGAGGGTTGTTGTTTTTTATTTTTTCACTTGATGTAATTTGGAGAGATATTTAACTACCAGCTCATATATTTCTATGTCATTTCTCAATAGTATTCTATTGTATGGAAGTTTCAAAATTTATAGCTAGTATTTTATTGATGAGACATTTACTTGTTTCCATTTTTCCATTACAAAGATGCAATAAATAACATTTATGGGTAAACATTCATGCATGTGTGCTGGTATATCTATAGAATAATCCCCCCAAAAAAGTAAATTACTGGGGCAAATGGTACAATGGATTTAACATTTCGGTAGCTATTCAAGAGTTTTTCTACACAGTGCTAGCAACAATATAAACACCTATCGATAGGAAATAATAACATTTTCCCCCCAACCTTGCTGACATTAGACATTTTCAAGCATCTCAATTTTTGCCTGTGTAAGAAATGGAAAATGTATCTCATCATTGCTTTAATTTTTTTATTTAATTATGAATGAGGCTGATCATGTTTATTGGCCACATATTTCTTTGTGTGTAAATGTAGCTGTACTTTGTTTTTCTAATTGGGATTTTTACTTATTGTTTTGTAGGACTGTTTTACGTGTTTTCTTTTTTTTTCTTATGACTCGATCCTCTAAAAACGTAGACTCTTCATTTAAAAAAATAAAGGCAAAATCTTCAGTTGGTGTCAATTGTCAAAATTCATGCACCCAATTTTTCCTACAAGCTATGTTTGGTAAGTCTTTGCTGTGTATACTTTAGAATTTACTTTCTGTATTAGCATAGAGAGGAAAGATAAAATGATTTGAATCTAATTATTATTCAGTATGCAATGTGGAGAAAATAATATATATAATATTTCATATTAAATATGTATGCTTATATAAATTCATATATATGTATTTACATATATATGTATGTATTAACATATGAGTTCCATCTAGGAATAAATCTATTCTGTATCCTATAATTCCTATATCTGCAGTTTTTGATGATTTTAATCTGCAATTCATTTCTGCTAATTCTTTTCTAACTTGTCATATTTTCTCTTGTGCTTTTAAATTTTTACTTGTATTTGCCTTTACTTTATTTTTTAAAATCAGTGTGGACACTTTGCGGTATGTTTTATCAAAGAGAAGCTGCATTAACTAAATCCACATAGTGGATGTAATACCTGGGAGCACAGCCCACTCAGGACCTATTTAAATTAAATTTTGATGTAGATGTTCCTTGAAGGGATGGACAAATAGAGTGAATTCTAGTTCCAAATCCATGTGAGGATTAGCTCATGGTTAAGATTTTAATGTGTCTCCTTTACGTAGAACCAAGCCTGAGATATGAAAGTCTCTCCACCATCTGGTTTTGTGGGATGGGTTTTGAAAAGTCACCTAGATTTCTAAGTCAGCAGTAGAGAATGGTTTCTCCAGATAACTAGTGTGGCCTCCTGTCTAGTATGTCTTTGTTCCTTGTCTTATGCATTTTAGTGCACGGTTAGGATTTCTGAGTATATATTGATATGGTTTGGCTTTGTATCCCATCCAAATCTCATCTTGAATTGTAATCCCATAATCCCCACATGTCATGGGAGAGACCTGGTGGGAGGTAATTGAATCATGGGGACGGTTACCCCCATGCTGTTCTCATGATAGTGAGTGAGTTCTCAGGAGTCCCCATGGTTTTATAAGGGGCTCCTCCCTTTGCTTGGCACTTATCCTTCCTGCCATCATGAAAAGAAGGATGTGTTTTCTTCACCTTCTGCCATGATTGTAAGTTTCCTGAGGGCCTCCTTAGCCCTGCTTAACTTGTGAGTCAATTAAACTTCTTTCCTTTATAAAGTACCCAGTCTTGGGTACTTATTAGCAGCTTGAGAAGGAACTAATACATATACTAAACAGAGACAGAACAATTTTGGGATTTTTTGGGGGTACTCTGTGAGTTTTCTTTTAAAGTCATAATTGTAAAAGGTGTGTTTAAGGTAAAACACAAATATATGCTCATTCTGTTTTTGATAAAGCTCGAGATACAAGCTCATGTGAAATATTTAGTCTATATAAGTAAAATAGTTTAAACTCTTGGCCTCCTGCTAATATATGCTTTAAGATGTTTTAAACTATCATAATGTTCATATAATTACATATCAGAATTCTAGGATGCCTGTCTACAGGAATATCAATCTTTTAAAATAGTACTTAATATTATATTATTAATGTTTCCTGTATAGCTACATCAAATTTTTATTTGTTGAGTTCTCATTCAAGGAAAATAATATTTTACTGAAATAAATTGAAGAGTGATGAATTGAGGCAGTGTATATTAATATATTATACAGAATATGACATAAATTTGACTGGGAATGACACAATCATAGTCTTTTTTTCTTTTTAAACATCCTTTATGTGATCACAGTTGCTGACTTCACTAGATGGCAATATTGCATTACATGTACATTAAAAATAAACACATCTATAAAATCACAGTCCTCCTCTTCTGAGAAAATGAGGCTCACAGAGAAGTTTAAACATATTTTCTGTCCACATTTTTCAACCTTATTTGAATTTACGACAAAAAAATTCTGGTTTTCAACTCTATAAAAGCCAATATACCTAAATTCTTATGTCTTTGTTTTTATTCGTATTCAATATTCAAGTTCCTTGAACTTTCCCTCTGATCACACTGTTTTGGTGTGAATGTCAAACTGACACATTATTAGTGGCATGACATTATTATGCTGCTCAGGAAAAATATTTTCTTTTTAAAAACTGCTTTAAGCTAACTATCCCGAGCCACCTGATGGTTTTCCTCATCTATCCTGAATCTCTCTGCATTTAAAACAGATGACTTTCCTTAATAAGGCTCTCATTTCTTGGCTTTTATGAGAATACAAGCTTGTGACTTCTTCTTTCTACTGCTATTCAATTATTTTGCTCATTTTTTCCTCCTCTAACTTACAGTTTAAAGTTCCAAACTTTCCTCAAGTGATGGTATCTATTTTTATGAGTTTACTTTATTTCTTTTTTACTTGTAAGTTCAGAGGTACATGTGCAAAATGTGCATGTTTGTTACATACGTAAACGTGTTACGTGGGAGTTTGTTGTACAGATTATTTCATCACCAACATGTTAAGACTAGTATTCGTTAGTTATTTTTCCTGATTCTCTCCCTCCTCCCACCATCCATCCTCTGATAGGCCCACCTGTGTCCACGCGTTCTCATCATTTAGCTCTCACTTATAAGTGAGAACATGCAGTATTTCGTTTTCTGTTTCTGTGTTAGTGTGCTAAGTATAATGGCCTCCAGCTCCATGCACATCCCTGCAAAGAACATGATCTCTTGATTTTCTATGGCTGCATAGTATTCCATGGTGTATATGTATCACATTTTCTTTATCCAGTCTACCTTTGATGGGCATTTAGATTGATTTCTTCTATTTGCTATTGTGAATAGTGCTGCAGTGAACATGCACGTTCATGTGTCTTTATCATAGAACAATTTATACTCCATTGGGTACAGACCCAGTAATGGGATTACTGGGTCGAATAGTATTTCTGCCTTTAGGTCTTTGAGGACTAGTCACACTGTCTTCCAAAGCATTGCTTTTTCTTCACAATCTCGCCAGCATCTGTTAAATTTTTGACTTTTTAATAATCGCCATTCTGACTGGCATAAGATGATATCTCATTGTGGTTTTGATTTGGATTTCTGTAATGATTAGTAATGTTGAGCTTAAATATGATTGTCAGCCACATGTATGTCTTTTTTTGAAAAGTGTCTGTTTGTGTTCTTTGCCCAATTTTTAATGGGGTTGTTTGTTTTTCTCTTGTAAATTGATTCAAGTTTCTTATAGATGGTGGATATTAGACCTGTTTCAGATGCATAGTTTGCAAAAATGTTCTCTCATTCTGTAGGTTGTCTGTTTACTCTGTTGATAGTTTCTTTTGCTGTGCAGAAATTTGTTAGTGTAAATAGATCCTATTTGTCCATTTTTGCTTTTTTTTGCAATTACCTTTTGGCATCTTCATCATGAAATCTTTGCCCATGCCTATGTCCTGAATGGTATTGCCTCAGTTGTCTTCCAGGGTTTTTATAGTTTTGAGTTTTATATTTAAGTCTTTAATTCATCTCGAATTAATTTTTGTATATGATGTAACAAAGGGGTCCAGTTTTAATCTTCTGTGTTTGGTTAGCCAGTTATTCCAGCACCATATATTATATAGGGAATTCTTTTCCTTTTACTTGTTTTTGTCAGATTTGTCAAAGATCAGATAGTTGTAGATATGTGGTATTATTTCTGAGTTCTTTATTCTGTTCCATTGGTCTATATGTCTGTTTTTGTATCAGTACCATGCTCTTTTGTTTACTGTAGCCCTGTAGTATAGTTTGAAGTCAGGTAGCGTGATGCCTCCAGCTTTGTTCTTTTTGCTAAGGATTGTCTTGGCTATACAGGCTCAAAATAACGGGATGGAGGAATAATTACCAAGCAAATGGAAAGAAAAAAAAAGCAGGGCTTGCAATCCTAGTCTTGATAAAACAGACTTTAAACCAACAAAGACAAAAAAAGATAAAGAAGGGCATTACTTAATGGTAAAGGGATCAATGCAACAAGAAGAGCTAACTATCCTAAATATATGTGCACCCAATACAAGAGCACCCAGATTCATAAAGCAAGTTCTTAGAGACCTACAAGGATAAACCTTTTATAACACTATGAATATGTAACTATTTCTTCTTTTTTTTTTCAGAAGATTTAGTGCTACCTTTAGGAAAATGTGAGTCACTACTATTCATGAGTTACATATAAAGGAATATTTTAAATGTTTTGCAATGTCAAGAATAATAAAACAAAAAGCAGACAAAACTCCTAAGCTTCCATTAACTGTAATGTTTCTTTCTGAGAGAGCAAAGAGCTTCTGGATTGACATGGTTATGGTAGACCTGAGAAAGTTGTACTATAATGAAGAGGGATATTAATTAATGAATGTCTTAATTTTCTCAAACAAGTGGCAGTGTAATTGCTTTAGTAGCACTCGTTGAATTAGATCTGCATCATTGTCTTTAGGATGATAAACACTTTAAAGTATTACTGAATTAAAATGTTTTATGAACATATAAAAATGTATGTTTTATATAACTTTATGTATTACCTTATTCTGTTTTTTCTGTAGGTGGAAGTATATCATATACACTTCTGTACCTTTTATTTTTCACTTGATTACAATTTTGAGATGCTTCCAGATCAGAACATGTAGATTCACCTCATTTTCAACGCTGTGTAGTATTTCCAGTATGGATTCAACCATTGCTATCAATATAAATTTATTTTTTTTCTGATTTTTTCAGTCTTATAATCAGTTATGTTGTAATTAATAACATATATATGTTTTTTGCATTTTACTGCTAGTATATCTATACAATAGAATCTTGGAAATAAAACTGCTGTACTAAAGGGAAAAAAGTATTACTGAATCATATAAAACCATTTGATTAACATCTCTATCGGGTCATTAGAATGGTCAGGCTCCTTTACATGAAATAAATTTCTTAAAATTAGTGTACTGTAAAATCAAGTTCTCAACGGACTAAAATAAGCAAGTAGTTCACTTCAGAAAATACATGCAAATACATAGAAAAATTTTCTACACAAAAATGTCTCTGAAATCTAGAGGGTCATTTAGGTTATGTCAAGTTAACATAAGGATATATTTCTGAGTAATAGGAGCTAGCATTCTTATGTGAGGGATCAGAAAATGCTAACTTTGGAATAGACTTTGTATTGTTATTAAAATATTATTTTACAATTAAAGAAGCTGATTATCTGTCATATTGGATTAAAACCAAATAAAAAATAAAAAAGAAACTGAGACACAGAAAGCATAAATGACTTGCTCATGTTGACAGTGCTCATCATCCTCCTGTTTCTCAGGTCAATGAACTTTCCATTGCACTGCCTGGTTTTCTTATCCCTAAGCAGTTTATAAACAGTGTCACTGCATCGAGTTGTTTAGGTTGTTAACTGAACAAAGATACCAGGCTAAAGAGGCAAATAGGGACAAAAATTCAGCCTACACACTACTTGCCAAGCTATGTGCTCATGGGATGTACCTATCTTTTTAGTTCACTAAATTTCTCCCAGGGCTAGCCAAGTCCTTGTTTACAAGTTCTAGGAGAACTTCTGTTTTTCCCCCTGAATACATAAGAAGCAGTGGGTTTCGGCTGCTCCTATTCTCCTATAAAAAGCAGTAATTTTTAAGGAGTATGTACTATGGCTGTAGTGGGAGAATGAAGATCCACAGTTTCACTTTCATATTGTGGATTATAAGAGCTAAGGATTATGCCTAGTCTCTTACACATTGGAGGGTGACTTTTTCCATGTCTCCATATGAAATATATAGCAGAGCTTAAAGAGTAGGTGTGTGTCTTCTCTGAGCTTGTGAGTCTGTATTACTCTCTGATGATGAAGTAACTGAGACATTAACAAGCATATCAAAAGAAAATCAAGATCAATCTGAAATGGCATCAGTATAAAAGTTTTCAATTTCCATCTAATTCCTGTTTCAAGTTTTTAGAGAATACCTTCTGTAAATTACCTGAGTGTTTATAAATTAGTAAGTAAAATACTGACGTGGATGTTTCTAGAAAGACAGCTAAAACACCATTTCAAAATGCCATGCCTTAATTTTGTAGCTCATTAAAGCTAAATAAGGCTACTAATGCGTATTTTATAAATCGCAAAAGTCACAGTAGTTTTCAGGTGCAATAAGATGAGACTCCATAAAATTCGCTGTATCTTTATAATCAACAGCAACAGCAGCAGCATCATTATCTCTCATTGACTTCCAGATTCATGCATGCGACTGTTGCTTTGACATCTCCACTTGTATATCTCAAATATCTCAAATTAACAGTCCAGCATGGACAGAATTATTGATTACTCTCCTCCAGTCTATTTATTCCTTAGTCTGTCCCATCCTGTCTAGTCACTCAGGCCCAAATTATGTACGTCATCTGCAAGCCATCCTTTTCATTTACCATCCACATTTAATTTGTCCTCAAGTCTATAGGCATTATCTTCAACATATACCTCAAACTCTCCACCATGTGGTTCAACCTACCATCATCAATTTCCTGGACCACAGCAATAGCCTCCTAATTGATCTTATTTTCTTTCACCCTTGACTGTCTTAAAACTCATGCTCACACTGCAGCCAAAGTGATATTTTTTTAAAGCAAGTTAGACTACATCAACACTATTGAAAACTCTTCAATCATCATGTGACAGTCTGCCTACTTCTCCGGGCTTGCCTTTTTCTACTCCCGTCTTCATTCTTTTGTCTTCATTCTTTTTACTTTTTCTTTTTCTTTTTCCTTTTCTTTTCTTTTTTCTTTTTTTCTTTCTTTTCTTTTTTTTTTTTTTTTTTTTTTTTTTTGAGACAGAGTCTTGCTCTGTCACCCAGGCTGGAGTGCAGTGGTGGGATCTTGGCTCACCACAACCTCTGCCTCCCAGGTTCAAGCGATTCTCCTGCCTCAGCCTCCCCAGTAGCTGGGACTACAGGTGTGCCCCACCATGCCGGGCTGATTTTTGTATTTTTAGTAGAGACAGGGTTTCACCATGCTGACCACTCTGGTTTCGAACTCCTGACCATGCGATCTGCTTTCCTCAGCCTCCCAAAGTGCTGGGATTACAGCTGTGAGCCACTGTGCCCGGCCTCGTTCTTCATATTTGGGTGACACAGTCCTTTATTCAAGTCTTCAAAATGTACCAATCACTGCCTCACACTGAGACCATTACACATGATGTTCCCTCTGCCTGGGCTGCTCCTTGTCCCCTTTCTTTGCCTTGCTAACTCTTACTTATCTTTATATCATAGTTTAAGTGTTATCCTTAGAAAGAGTCTCTGTACCCTTCATTCTAAATTAGGTTAACCCTGTTATTTTCTCTTTATAAAGCCCTATTATTTAAAAATATTATTTATCACAATTTATACTCCCTATGTATTTGTGATATTGTTTATTTAATGAGGATTTTCCACACTGTATTGTATGTCTTACAGTATTGTACCTATAAATAGACCACTTGCTTCATAAAAGAGCAACAGTGTTTTGCAATTACTTCTCATAGTAAATTCAAACTTCCCAGTCTGCTTTTCAATGTTCCTTTTCAATTAACTTTCCCCATCTGGCAGTGCTTACTTGCAAAGAAGAGAAGCAGAGATTAAAAATAACATGTAGACAGAGTCTTCCAAGTGCCAGGCCGTGTGCTAGATACATTTACCTACAGAATCTAATTTAAACCTCACCATAATCTTCCTGAAAGATGCATTATTGTCGCTGCTTTTACAGATGAGAAAACTGAGTTTGAGATGGTAAGTGATTTATGTGAAATCTAGAATGTAAACCCAAGTACAAATCATATCTCATGGTCTTTTTTCCTGCATTGCAGGCAAACTAGGCTGCTTGCCTTACCTTATACACCCATGACTCATATAGGAGCATTTCCCCCTTCTTATCAGAAACACTGAAGAGTTTAGGGATGAAGCATTACCATGTATGAAACCTATTTTCCAATGAGTTAGCAAAAATGTAAAAAAAAGAATATATAAAGGGAGAGCAGACAAATGTGAAACATTAATAATTATTGAATATAAATTAAGGGTATATCACTGTTTATTGTACTATTCCTCCAATTCTTTTCTGCAGGGTTGAAATATTTTAAAATTAAATGTAAGAAACAAAAAAGAAGAGATGCATAATTATATTCATTCTATGCAATAGATAGGTTTTGTTTAGTTCCAGATGAAAACAAAAAGAATAAAGAAGTCAGCTTTTAAATAACTGGGGAATTTGAATATTAATGGGCTAGTAGAAGATATTCACAAAATATTATTTTGTTAAGCATAATAAGGCTGCGGAAAAGAGAAATTTTACCTCAGTGATACATATTGAAATATTCACAGGTGAAATAAAATGTCTTGGATTGGCTTCTAAATAGAGTAGTGTAGGGGTGAGGAGATTAAATTAAATTGGCCATTTGTTGATTAATTTTTAAGCAAGGAGATGAGTACCTGAAGGTTCATTACATTAATCATTTTGTTTTTTGTATGTTGGAAATTTTTCATAATAAAAATTTAGAAAAAATTCATTTACCCTGAGCCTCAAATAATTCGAATGACCCACATAATATCTCCATTTTAGAGTCCTTTTTAAAATTGCCAACAGTGTAAAGCTAACAGGCACAATTTCCAAATTGTGTTTGGCAATATGCTGAAAATGTCAGTGTACTAGTAGTGATGTTTTTTCAAGGTAAGGTGCTATATAAATTGAATTTGCTGCTGTTAAAAAAGACTAGAAGTACTTATGTTCACTCATCTGAAGAATATAGAAAAAAATCAACTTTTGAAAAATGAAAAAAAGAAGAAATAAGGCAAGGCATCCAAGTTTTTCAGCAATTAGACTGAAGATCAGAAATTCTTATGTGCCTAGGCACATGATATTTTGTAATGATAAAAGTAGTGAGATATTTCTTGTTATAAAGATTATATTGATTTTAGCAGAAACATAGTTATCAGTACAAAGATAAAATTTATCAACTTTATTTGCATAAAGTTTCATATTATTTTAATTGATAAATTTGGATCAAGTCAATGAGAATACTGGAATATATTAGCATTAACTATTCTCAATTGCAGTGAGTTGTATTTAGTGAGGCTACATTTTGTTCAGGGTTCTCCACAGAAACAGAACCAATAGGACAAATATAGATAGAACAAATATAGATAGATGATAGATGATAGATAGATAGATAGATAGATAGATAGATAGATAGATAGATACATAGATAAAAGGTATATATAATGAGAATATACTCCCACAGTTATGGGAGCTGAAAAGTACCATGACATGCCACCCACAAGCTGGAGAAACAGGAAAGTCAGTGGTGTAATTTAGTCCCCAAAGCCTAAGAACTAGTGGAACCAATGGTGTAACTCTCAGTCTGAAGCCAAAGGCGTGAGAACCAGGTGAAGGGGGAAGCCAGTGTAAGTCCTGGAGTCTGAAGTCCCCTGAATCTGAAACTCTGATATCTAAGGGTGAGAGAAGACGGATGACCGGGTTCCAGAAAAGAGAGAAAATTAACCCTTTCTTCATTGTTTTGTTCTATCTGGACTCTCAATGGATTGGATGATGCTTGCCCACACTTCTTTACTTACTCCACTGTTTCAAATGATAATCTCTTCCAGAAACATCCTCATGGACACATCCAGAAATGGTTTCATTGCTTACCTGGGTATCCTTAACACAGTCGAGTTGACACATAAAGTTAACCATCACTGGTTACCTCTCAGTTTAGATCCAAAGTTAACATAACTGACTGTGGGTTGATCTAAGCTTTGATTTTCGCAGTTTCATAAATAAAGTTATTTCACATAGCCAGGTGGACTGAAATATTGCCTAGTGTTTGCTCATAGGCTCAGAAATACCAGTATATATACAGGACTCACTCACACATTCAGTTCTGCAATTCCAAGATTGCCTTGTTTCTTTGTGTCAAAAAGTTGGCATTTAAGTCCATTAGTTCCTTAAGAAACTGTAAAACTGAGAGGACAAATTCTTGATTATTTTAACATAGCCTGAGATTTGCAATACAAAGTCAGCCACAGAAAATTAAGCGTGATTCATATACTCATCAAAACCTGAATCTTCACTAAAATTGTGGCAATTTAACAAATAGCTCTGCATTTTAAAAAAATCTTATTTTTTTTTGTATTTGAAGCAGTTCTGCAAGAAAAAATAAATTGTTTCTAGCTCCCATCTAGTTGATCAACCTGTCTAGGTTTAGTAAATTTCTACACTTTTTTTGTAGTAAGAAATAATATTTTTAAGTTCTTTGTATTCTAATGTCTTCTTATATGAGTTAAAAAGTAAGATATTCTATGTTTTTAGAAATTTTCTCATATGAGGAATAAATTATGATGTTGTAAGTTACTGGAAAAGACTGACAAATTTGGGCTTTCTAATGCGCTGTTTTTTTTTCTGCCCAAAGTACTTCCTCAACTCTTCTTAATTTGTACTCAGCCTTCTGGTTTTAGCTTAATTATTAGCTCCTCAAAAAGTCCTCTACTCAGAGAGGCCACTCCCTCTCTGTACCATTATACTTAGCAAACTCTACGATAATTACCTATCTATGTCTCTATATTCCCTCCTGGACTGTGAAGTCATTGAGGATGGATTCTATTTCTTATTTTTTCCTTATTCTCTTGCATATAACTTTAAGCTTAAAAAAATAGCAAGCGTTCAATACATTTTAAGAAGGTAACACTTTTTAAAACCAATGGATTGACAATGAGTTTCAGCCATCATAGCAGATAAATTAAAATGATATTTCTGAATAAGAAGAAGCATGTTTTAGTGCTCTTCAAAATATGCTATTTGAGTGAGTACTTTGTCTGTAATTAATGTCAGTCCTGATTACTTTTACATCACTGTTAGCAAAATATTTGTTATTCTACCTATGTCACCATGGTGACTGGCAACACTGATATGTTACCATGTTTACTGGTGATACCATAATTTTATCTCAGAAGAATACTCTCTTTACAGTTGATTATAAGATGCAAAACACATAGATGTTTCTACTATCCAGCTGAGAGGTAGTGTATAAATGACTATTCATATCTAAATATTAGGGCTTAGAGTTGGCCTTATGTTTTATACAATTTAAAAATTCCTTTAATGGCAAGACATAATGTACTGACTCTTGGATAGATGAAAGGCAGAATTGGGATAGGGTAAGAGCAAGCTACAGTTAGAGAAGGCAGTTCACATATGGCAAGCTGGTTGATGTTAGCTGTTTTGCAGGCTCCCTATGGATTGACTAATTTGAATAATTCCATGGGCTTCAGGGCATAGGGGCTGTCCATAGTTGTCTGGTACTTGGCTCTGAAATAATCAGAGAGGGTGCATAGTGGCCAGGAGTATGAGAGTTCACTAAGGGCAGTACTTGAGGTTTGGACTTCATGAGCATCTCAGAAAAAGGACAACTCTAACCAGGGCCTCAAAACTGGGTCGAGACAATATTTTAAAAAACCAATATTATGCATTAGATCAATGACTTATATAGAATTTAAGTTGATTACATAGCACATAATCTGTATTAATGAATGGGAAGTAATTATATGAAAAGTAATGATAATTGGCTATAACAAATTACATACTAAAGGCTACCTTTTGATGACAGAATTTTCCTTTAAAGTCTTTCAGTTACTTTTCATCCACCTACTTTGCAATCATTCCTTCTTAAGCTTTTCCCCTGAAGCCTTATTGAGTTATAATTGATAAATTAAAACTATACCTATTTAAGATATACAACTTGATGTTTTATACACATTTACATTGTGAAATGATTACCACAATCAAGTTAGTTAACCTACCTACCATCTCACGTAGTTATGTTTTCTTGGTGTTGAGAATATTTAACATCTACAATCTTAGCAAATTTCAAGTATATAATACAGTTTTTACTCATCTTTATTTTTGTCTGAAAGCTTTCTTTTACTCAAATATTAAACCAAGTCGTAACTTATATCCCTATGCATTTTAATCCCCTCCTTTTGCTTCTGGGAGTCAGCTTCCCCTCAGTCCCACCATCTTTATTCTTATAATATTTTATTATTGGTTTAGGAAAGTGTCCTTTCAAACTTAGTATAAGAGTGGCTTAGAGGAACTTATTAAAATTGCAGATTCCTGTGCCATACTCCCAGATATTTTGATTCTACAAGTCTGTGGAAATTCTCAGGCATCTGCATTGCTAAAGGGTTACTAACTTTTTCCAGACTTACTAATGTTAAAGAGACACAAACTGACATCTATCATCATTATTAGTTCATGAAAGAAAGGGCATTTTAGGGCCAGCTGTGGTGGCTCACGCCTGTAATCCCAGCAGCTTGCGAGGCCGAGGTGGGTGGATCGCCGGAGGTCAGGAGTTTGAGACCAGCCTGGCAAACATGGTGAAACCCCAACTCTACTAAAAATACAGAAATTAGCCAGGCGTAGTGGCAGGCGCCTGTAATCCCAGCTACTCAGGAGGCTGAGGCAGGAGAATCACTTGAACCTGGGAGGCGGAGGTTGGAGTGAGCCAAGATCACACCATTGCACTCCAGTCTGGGCAACAGGAGGGAAACTTTGTCTAAAAAAAAAAAAGAAAGAAAGAAAGAAAGGGCATTTAAACATTAAGGAAGTAAACAAAGGAAATTTCACTAACTTGAATATATCTAACTAATGAAAAACTTGCCACATTATATTCCAAAATGATGAAAATATCTGCCTTCTAACAGCAGTCTCAGAAGATTATAATGCAGATGGTCTGTTTTAGGTCTTGTCTTTTGCCATCTGATGCCAGAACACCACATCAAGCAAATCATTTAGTCTATACTTACATATCACTGTGGTCAGAAAACGTTTTTTTCTGTAGTAGCCAACCACCTTTCAAGGAGTTATCTGTCAGAAGAGGGCTTGGGCTGAGATCAGAAGCCTAGGTATATTTGAGGTCAAATAAAAGTGAGACGTGTGAGTACAATAAGGCCAAGGGATATGCCCTTTAACAGACTGGAAAAGACAGTTGTTAATTGAAAGTTCCAATAAGTAAGGGCCAACTTTGGGAAGAAAGGACAAAGAGCACATATGCACCATCACTAAATGGACAAATCCACATTGCTATCTCATGGGTAGTAAGCTGACAGAAATTTAAGCAGCAAATAATCACAGGAGATATGGGCAGATAGTAAGAAAGGATACTCTGGTAAGATCTGGTTGATACTGGTGACACAGTAATGGGGATACAAAAGATCAGGAGCAGAAATCTAAATAGAATGACAACATGGTATGAGCCTGAGAAAATGAGATGCCAATCTCAGGGAAGGTCCAGCATCATGACTGATACTACTGACCTGTTAAGCAACTATCTCATATTTTATAGGACTAGTCACAGATTTTTCGAGGAGACAAAATTTTCAGACTGGTTCAGTTAAGGTTACCCCAGCTTAGAAGATTTGAGTACTACAGAAACAAGGTACCAAACAGGTGTTTACAGTTGCATTCAATATATTCCAAACTGTCGCACATATTCATTCAGTTGGTCAAATTGAATAATTAAACCTTTACTGATTGAAAATCAGTGCATTAGAAGATGTATACAGAATAACATATTTTAGTAGAAGTATCAAATGTTCGATAGTAATTACAGTGCAAGGCATAGGGGCAAAAACTCTAAGAGAGTTACATATAAAATTGCATTGTAATCCAAATGAAAGATTTAAAACAGTAAACCATACTGTCATACTCTAGTAGATGATATACATGATCTGATTAGGACTAAAGGTACTGATATGAACAACTAACTGAGAAGCTTCAGAAACAAGAGGATTCATGGATGGACAGAGGAAAGAATAGATGGATTGTATGCTGTAAGTTAAATATAATTAAAGGTTAATTGTAGAATCTAAGAGGTAGGTGTATGGGTGTTCACTGTACAATTTTTTTCTATTTTGAACATTTTCATAGTAAAAAGTTAGTAAATTGACATATAGGTGTTGTTAGAATTCAAATATGCAGAAACAGGAGGGGGCTTTAGTGAGGAAAAAGGGGAGAAAGAAAGAAAGAATTACTGCAAGAGGAAGAGTAAGAGCAAAAGGAGAAAATTGGAAAATTTTAAACATGTATAGAGTAAAGTTCATATGGAACCAAAAAAGAGCCCGCATTGCCAAGTCAATCCTAAGCCAAAAGAACAAAGCTGCAGGCATCACCCTACCTGACTTCAAACTATACTACAAGGCTACAGTAACCAAAATAGCATGGTACTGGTACCAAAACAGAGATATGGACCAATGGAACAGAATAGAGCCCTCAGAAATAATGCCACACATCTACAACTATCTGATCTTTGACAATCCTGACAAAAGCAAGAAATGGGGAAAGGATTCCCTATTTAATAAATGGTGCTGGGAAAACTGGCTAGCCATATGGAGAAAGCTGAAACTGGATCCCTTCCTTACACCTTATACAAAAATTAATTCAAGATGGATTAAAGACTTAAATGTTAGACCTAAAACCATAAAAACCCTAGAAGAAAACCTAGGCAATACCATTCAGAACATAGGCATGGGCCAGGACTACATGTCTAAAACACCAAAAGCAATGGCAACAAAAGCCAAAATTGACAAATGGGATCTAATTAAACTAAAGAGCTTCTGCACAGCAAAAGAAACTACCATCAGAGTGAACAGGCAACCTACAGAATGGGAGAAAATTTTTGCAATCTACTCATCTGACAAAGGGCTAATATCCAGAATTTACAATGAACCCCAACAAATTTACAAGAAAAAAACAAGCAACCCCATCAACAAGTGGGCGAAGGATATGAACAGACACTTCTCAAAAGAAGACATGTATGCAGCCAAAAGACACGTGAAAAAATGCTCATCATCACTAGCCATCAGAGAAATGCAAATCAAAACCACAATGAGATACCATCTCACACCAGTTAGAATGGCGATCATTAAAAAGTCAGGAAACAACAGGTGCTGGAGAGGATGTGGAGAAATAGGAACACTTTTACACTGTTGGTGGGAGTGTAAACTAGTTCAACCATTGTGGAAGTCAGTGTGGCGATTCCTCAGGGATCTAGAACTAGAAATACCATTTGACCCAGCCATCCCATTACTGGGTATATACCCAAAGGATCATAAATCATGCTGCTATAAAGACACATGCACACGTATGTTTATTGTGGCACTATTCACAATAGCAAAGACTTGGAACCAGCCCAAATGTCCATCATTGATAGACTGGATTAAGAAAATGTGGCACATATACACCGTGGAATACTATGCAGCCATGAAAAAGGATGAGTTCATGTCTTTTGTAGGGACATGGATGAAGCTGGAAACCATCATTCTCAGTAAACTATCACAAGGACAAAAAAACCAAACACCGCATGTTCTCACTCATAGGTGGGAATTGAACAATGAGAACACATGGACAGAGGAAGGGGAACATCACACACAGGGGTGTGTTGTGGGGTAGGGGGAGGGGGGAGGGATAGCATTAGGAGATATACTTAATGTTAAATGATAAGTTAATGGGTGCAGCACACCAACGTGGCACATGTATACATATGTAACAAACCATATGTAACAAATGTGCATGTTGTGCACATGTACCCTAAAACTTAAAAGTATAATTAAAAAAAAAAAGAAAAACATCTAGAATATTTGGGTAATGTAGGAGAGTAGGCTAAAGAGTAGTTGAAAATGAGATCACATCATGTAGGGTTTTGATTCTTTAATTATTTTTTAGATATTAGGAATTAAAATAATTAGTTCGTTGGCAATAGCTGACTAATATACTCAATCCTGTTACCTTTTTCTCACTTTATTTATATGACCATGCCTCACATTTTTCCTGAAAAAAAGATAAACGTTAGTATAGTTTAGTAGCTCATCATTATCATTCCTGTCTAACTGTATCTTCAGAATCTATTCCCATGCCTCATCTTGATAGGACAAATGAAAAAAAAATAACCATAGCAGAGCACTTTGACAATTGGAACCATGGAGAAGAACCTGCCTCCTGAGAGCTATAGTCCTGAAGAAATGCAGCCAGTACTATTAAATGTGGCACTGAAGTAGGGAAGGGATGAAAAAGAAGTATTCATACTTACTTCTCTACCTGTCTTCCTAATAGCCGCTGCTTCCAAGTGGTCAAACCTAATCAGATGTTATTCAGTAAGACAGCTCAATTAAGGGAAACCTCCCAGAGCACATAACACAAGAGAGAAGAACTGAAAATGCATGGGGTGTGCAGATAGAGAACAACCTGCATGTTACTACTTTCCTTCTCCTTTTAGAGAAAGAAGCGTTCCTTTCTCCTTTCTTTTGCCCTGATGAACAAATTTAGTTCTGTCCTTAAATCCACAAGCTCCTATCTGCTTCAGGATCTTAGACCATCAATTATTTTTAAGGTTTTAATTGAACGATTAATACGTTATTTATCCTGGTTTCAAAGAACACCCAGATTACTCTCCCCAAAGAAAAAAAAAGTATTATCAGTATTCTGTATGTCCTTCCGAACCTTTAACCTCTTCTTTTTCTATATCTTTATACTTTATTTTTATACTTAAACACAAATACACACACACACATGTGCAAACACAAATCCATAATAACATACAAAATTTAGTAGCATTTCTATATGCCAATAGTGAACAATCTGGAAAAAAAATTAAAAATTAATTCCATTTACAATAGCCACAAATAAAATTAAATACCTAGGAATTAACTTAACTAAAGAAGTGAAAGATCTCTACAATGAAAACTATTAAACACTGATGAAATAATTTAAAAGGACCTAAAGAAATGGAAATTCATTTTATGTTCATGGAATGGAAGAATTATTAAGCAGGCACCCATCCCCAAAGGATGTGGGGTATTTAGACATTACCAGGGACTTATTAGCGTCTGTCCCTTCAGTGAACCAATGGACAGGGGAAAGTTTAGAGGTCATCTGAGCTGGTCATGTAAAAACAAGTATAAATCTCAGGGAATATCCACAAGAGAGCCTGTCTCTTCTCTTCCAGGCAAATAAAGCAAGAGCCACAGGTGCACAAATAACAAACAGTGAGTGTGTGTTTAAGGCAGAGAAGGAAGTCGTGTGGCATGCAAAGTGAAAGCAAAGAAAAGCAGACTTGCTCCTGAGGTGTACAGTCTGGTGGGTGCACAAGGCCATTTCAGAATACACACAGAGAAAACAGGAGAGGAGATTGTGAAGGGTTTTGGAAAAGAGCCAATTTTAGATGAAAAAGCAGAGGAAACCCCAGACATTGCACAGCTTTAGGCTTTAGCGCTACCACTATCATGAGCCTTCCTATCCAGGAGGGCCATTAGTGTCTCAGGTCTACATGGTGCAGACTCCAAGGTTCTTCCCACCCCTGCAAACCACCCATCAGGGTCAGCTGAGAGATCAGCTGGGAAAACCAGAGTCACTATGGCTGAAATCAATAGTTCTGGGGGTTTGTTAGTAAGTAGAGCAGTGAAAGAGGAGGAGAAAACTGTGTATGGGGGGTTGAACACTTCCAGTGAACAAGGTGAGGTGTAGAGGTGTCTTACCATTAGGGAATGTATCCCAGTCACAAGGCACCAAAGTATGTTAGCAGCAGCGAATTTCTATGGATCTGCAGCAACTCGATTCTTGCCTCCTCGAAGGAAATAATTCACATGAGGGGCATAAGGCAGAGTGAGAGACCGAGGCAAGTTTTGAGCAGGAGTGAGAGTTGATTAAAAAGTTTTAGAGAACAAAAGGGAAGTACACTTGGAAGAGGGCCAAGCAAGCAACTTGAAAGATCTAAGTGCTCTGTTCAGCCTGTGACCTGGGGTTTTATACATTGGTGTGGTTTGGAGTTTGCATTTCCCCTCCCTCGATTTTTCCTTGGGGTGGGCTCTCTGCATGTGCGGTGGCCTGCCAGCACTTGAGAGGAGTCGTATGCACAGCGTGTTTGCTGAAGTTGTGTGCGTGCTCATTTTAGGTGTTTTTTTTCTTACCAGTTAAGTGTTCCTAGAGGAAGGTCATATATCAGTCAGACTCCACCATTTTCCCTCTTAGCGTGCATGCCTGAGCCTATTTTCCCAACTCCCGAGATCTTATCAGGAAGCTGTTGATCACCAGCTTCAGATGTTTTTTATCTATTCGGAAACTGCCTTTCCCTGGCATCAACTATGACCAATTCTTATTTTAGAGAGACAGTTTAAAAACCATGACTATCACCTGGTGGTCACCTGACATTTCTGGTGGGGGCTGGTGCCCTCTCCTGCTCTGCTCATGGCTGCCTCGTTACTCTAAAAATATCAATTAATCTAAAACACTGTGTTCATTTCTAAGAATATGCTATCACAAGAATAATAAAAGAGGGAAAAACTAATCTACTAGTTTCTGGATGAACATACGGAAACATATAAACTCATAAAACTACAATGGCGCCACATACATATGTCTAATGGTATAGAATGAAAATGTAACAGGCTAAGAGTGCTATAGAACAATTTGTGTCCAATAAATGACTAACCTGACATAGAGGTGACCCCTCAGTAGCCAGACTAAAAGATCAAAACTAGAAGAAAAAAAAAAAAAACGGATTCAGGACAAAGGAGGTTACATATTGCAGGAAAAATATTTGCGCAATCAATTCTGCAAAATCATTAAAGAAATAAATGAAAAACCAACCAACAAGCAACAACACCACGACAACAGTAACCCCTTAATGTTATAAGTTTTCAGCTTGCTACAATATATTATCTAAATTGTCTCTTTTTAAACAAAAATTTGGAGACAGGCTGAGACTGAAAAGTGTGATACATACCAATGGAGAGGGGGGAAGCAGGCAAAAGAAACTGTCTGCAAAAGGGGCCAGGTATCAGATTTTTAAAATGCTTTAAAGTAGCCATTATAAATATGTTATAAGAACTAAAGGAAATAATGCTTAAAGAAGTAAAGGAAGGTATGAAAACAATGTCTTATCAAATACAGAATATTGTTAAAGAGGTAGAAATAAAAATAATCAATAAAAAATATTTTTTATTTTATTGTAAATTGACACTTTATAATTGTATATATTTATGGGATAGAACATGAGGTAATGATTTATGAATACAATGCAAAAAAACTAAATCAAGCTAATTAACATGTCTATCACCTCAAATTCTTCTGCTGGTGATAAGAACATTTGGGATTTACTCTTGACACTTTTGAAATGTATAGTATACAATTGGTAATGATACTAATTGTGTTGTGCAATAGATCTCAAAAAAAATTGTTACTCCTTACTGAGGTTTTGTACAGTTTGATCAACATTTTTCCATTTTTCCACTCCCCACCCTCTGTAACCACTTTTGTACTTTCTATGCTGTAGGTATGAGATCAATTATTTTAGATTCCAAATATAAATGAGAATATGTGGTAATTGTCTTTTTGTCCCTGGCTTACTCCACTTAGTATAATGTTTTTCACTTTGATAAAACAAAAAATTAAGCCGAGTTAAATTTAAAGGAGTTTAATTGAGCAATGAGCGATTAGTGAATAGAGCAGCTCCCAGAATCACAGCAGGTTCACAGAGACTCCAGTGCAGCCACGTGTTGGAAAAAGATTTATAGACAAAGAAAGGAAAATGACACACAGAAATTAGTAGTGAGGTACAGAACAGCAGGATTGGTTACACGTTGGTGTTTGCCTTACTTGAACACAGTTTAAACATTCAACAGGGTATGGATGGTGAAAGTACCACTGCTGGGATTGGCCAAGACTCAGCTATTGTTACAGGTACATACTCCTAAGTTAGGCTTTCAATCTTGTCTACCTATTAAGTTAGGTTGCAGTTTGTCCACAAGGACCTAATATAGAAGTACGGAGTCCTTCTCAGGCCATATTTAGTTTCCTTTAACAATTTCCCCCTTTTGGTCATTTTCTCAATTTACTGTCCTACCTTAGGGGTATATCAGCTCTCCGGCTTTGTGTCATAATCTTGTTTGAAGAGACCCTGATCGATTTTTGCTTCCACAAGGTATCACACTGGTCCATTACATTAATTACATTATGCTGATTGGATCCAATGAGCAAGAAGTAGCAAACACATTGGACTTATTGTTGAGACATTAGTGTGCCAGGGGATGGGAAATAAATCTGACTAAAATTCAGGGACCTTCTACCTCAGTAAAATGTCTAGGGGCCTAATGGTGTCAGGCTTGTCAAGATATTTCTTCTAAGGTGAAAGATAAGTTGCTGCATTTGGCCCCTCCTATAACCAAGAAAGAGTCACAATGCCCAGTGGGCCTATTTGGATTTTGGAGGCAACACATTCACCCCTTGAATGAAGGTGAGGCCTGGTACCCTTGATGAAAGACCCCACTACACTACTGACTATTTATGCTATTAATCTTTCTCCCACCCTTCCACAAGGACACCTCTGGCCTTTTACCAGGGTAACTGTCCACTGGGGAAAGAGAAATGATCAGACATTTCAGGGACTGCTAGACACTGGCTCTGAGCTGATGTTGATTCCAGGGGACCTAAAATGTCACTGTGGTCTTCCAGTTAATGTAGGGGCTTATGGAGATCAGGTGTTTTAGCTCAGGATGTTTTAGCTCAGCTCTTAACTTTCAGTGGGTCCAGTGTGTCCCTGGACTCATCTTGTGATGATTTCCTCTGTGGGAGAATGCATAATTGACATAGGCATTTTTAGCAGCTGGCAGAACCGCAATATTGGCTCCCTAACTGGTAGGGTGAGGGCTATGGTGGCAAAGACAAAATGGAAGCCATTGGAGCCGCCTCTATCTAGAAAAATAGTAAATCAAGAACAATATCACATCCCTGAAGGGATTGCGGAGATCAGTGCCACTATCAAGGACTTGAAAGGTGCAGGGGTGGTGATTCCCACCACATCCCTGTTCAACTCTTCCGTTTGGCCTGTGAAGAAGATGGACCTTGGAGAATGACAGTGGATTACCATAAGCTTAACCAAGTGGTGACTCCAATTACAGCTGCTGTACCAGATGTGGTTTTATTGCTTGAGCAAATTAACACATCTCCTGGTACCTGGTATGCAGCCATTTACTTGGAAAATGCTTTTTTCTCCATTCCTTTCCATAAGGTCCACCAGAAGCAATTTACCTCCAGCTGGCAAGGCCAGAAATAAACCTTTACTGTCCTACATCAGGGGCATATCAACTCTCTGGCTTTGTGTCATAATCTTAATTGGAGAGACCTTGACCGCTTTCACTTCCACAAGATATCACATTGGTCTATTATATTGATGACATTATGCTGATTGGATCCAGTGAGCAAGAAGTAGCAAACACGCTGGACTTATTGGCGAGACGTTAGTGCGCCAAAGGATGGAAAATAAATCTGACTAAAATTCAGCGATCTTCTATCTCAGTATAATTTCTAGGGGTCCAGTGGTGTGGGGACTGTTGAGATATTCCTTCTACGGTGAAGGTGCTGCATTTGGCCCCTCCTACAACCAAGAAAGGGGCACAATGCCTATTGGGCCTATTTGGATTTTGAAGGCAACACATTACTTATTTGGTTGTGTTACTCTGGCCCATTTATGACTGCCAGTTTTGAGTGGGGTCCAGAACAGGAGAAGGCTCTGCAACAGGTCCAGGATGTTATGCAAGCTGCTCTGCCACTTGGGGCATATGATCCAGCAGATCCAATGGTGCTTGAGGTGTCAGTGGCAGTTAGGGAAGCTGTTTGGAGACTTTGGCAGGTCCCCATAAGTAAATCACAGTGGAGGCCTCCAGGATTTTGGAGCAAAGCCCTGCCACCTTCTGCAGATAACTTCTCTCCTTTTGAGAGACAGCTCTTGGCCTGTTACTGGGCTTTGGTGGAAACTGAACGTTTGACTAAGGTTCATCAGGTCACCATGTCACCTGAAACACTTATCATGAACTGGGTGCTTTCTAACCCATCTAACCACAAAGTGGGTCATGGACAGCAGCATTCCATCATCAAATGGAAGTGGTTGTGATTGGAAATATATGTGATTGGGCTTGAGCAGGTCCCGAAGGCACAAGTTACATGAGGAAGTGGCTCAAATGCCCATGGTCTCCACTCCTGCCACCCTGCCTTCTCTCCCCCAGCCTACACTGATGGCCTCATGTGGAGTTCCTATGATCAGTTGACAGAGGAAGAGAAAACTAGGGCCTGGTTCACAGATGGTTTTGCACAATATGCAGGCACCACCTGAAAGTGGACAGCTGCAGCATGACAGCCCCTTTCTAGGACATCTCTGAAGGACAGCAGTGAAGAGAAAGCTTCCCAGTGGGCAGAACTTTGAACAGTGCACCTGGTTGTGCACTTTGCATAGAAGGAGAAATGGCCAGATGTGCGATTATGTACTGATTCATGGGCTGTAGCCAATGGTTTGGCGGTATGGTCAGGGACTTGGAAGAAGCGTGATTGGAAAATTGGTGACAAAGAAATTTGGGGAAGAATTATGTGGATAGACCTCTCTGAATGGTCAAAAACTGTGAAGATATTTGTATCCCATGTGAGTGCTCACCAATGGGTGACCTCAGCAGAGGAGGATTTTGATAATCAAGTGGGTAGGATGACCAGTTGTGTGGACACCACTCAGCCTCTTTCCCCAGCCACCCCCGTCGTCGCCGAGTGGGCCCATGAATAAAGCGGCTATGGTGGCAGGGATGGAGGTTACGCATGGGCTCAGCAACATGGACTTCCACTCACCAAGGCTGACCTGACTGTGGCCATTGCTGAGTGCCCAATTTGCCAGGAGCAGACACCTACACTGAGCTCTCGATATGACACCATTTCTCAGGGTGATCAGCCGGCTACCTGGTGGCAGGTGGATTATATTGGACGTCTTCCATCACGGAAATGGCAGAGGTTTGTCCTCAATGGAATAGACACTTATTCCCACAAATAAGTGAGAACATGTGATGTCTGTCTTTCTGTGCCTGGCTTATTTCGTTTAAAATAATGATCTCCATTTCCATTCATGTTATTTCAAATGACTGGACCTCATTTTTTTTATGGCAGAATAGTACTCCATTGCGTGTATGTACCAGATTATTTTAATCCATTTATCTCTTGATGAACACTTTGGTTGCTTCCATATCTTAACTATTGTAAACAGTACTGCAACAAACATAGGGGTCCAGATATCTCTTCAATATACTGATTTTTTTTTTCTTTTGGGTGTATATCCAGCAGTGGGATTAAAGGATCATGTGGTAGCTCTATTTTTATTTTTTAGAGGAACCTCCAAACTGTTCTCCATAGTTGTTGTACTAATTTACATTTCCTTCAACATTGTACAAGGGTTCCCTTTTCTCCACATCATCACCAGCATTTGTTGTTGCCTTTGTTTCAGATAAAAGCCATTTTAACTGGGGGAAGATAATATCTCACAGTTTTGATTTCCATTCCTCCGATGATCAGTGTTGTTGAGCATCAGTTTATGTAGCTGTTTGCCATTTACATGTCTTGTTTTCAAAAATGTCTGTGAAAATATTTTGCTAAGTTTTTGATCAGAGTATTAATTTCTTACAGAGTTATTTGAACTGCTTATATACACTAGCAATACATCCTTCGTAAGATGAGTAGTTTGCAAATATTTCCTGCCATTCTGTGGGTGGTCTCTTTACTTTGTTGATGTTAACCTTTGCTGTGCAGAAGCTTTTTTTAAGTTGATATTGTGAATTTTTGCTTTGGTTGCCTGTGCTTGTGGAGTATTGCTCAAAAATATTTTACCCAGACCAACATCCTGGATATTTTCCCTAGTGTTTTCTTGTAGTAGTTTCATGGTTTGATGTCTTAGATTTAAGTCTTTTATCCATTTTGATATAATTTTTGTATATGGTGAGAGATAGTTTAATTCTTTTCCATGTGGATATCCAGTTTTCGCAGCACCATTTATTGAAGAGGCTGTCTTTTCTCCAGTATATATTCTTGGTACTTTTGTCAAAAACAAGTTCACCATAGGTGTGTGGGTTCGTTTTTGGTTTCTCTATTTTGTTCCATTGGTCTATGTGTCTGCTTTCATGACAGTACCATGCTGTTTTGGTTACTATAGCTCTGTAATAAAATTTGAAATGAGGTAATGAGATTTTTCCAGCCTCCAGTTTTGTTCTTTTTACTGAAAATAGCTTTGACTATTTAGGGTCTTTTGCAGTTTCACATAAGTTTTAGGATATTTTTCCCCATTTCTTTGAAGAATGTCATTGGTATTTTGATAGGGATTACATTGAATCTGTAGATTGCTTTGGTTAGTAATGGCATTTTAACAATATCTATTTTTCCAAACCATGAACATGGAATTTTTCCATTTCTTGATGTCCTCGATTTTCCTCATCAGATCTTTATAGCTTTAATTATAGAGCTATTTTATTTCTTTGGTTAATCCTAGGTATTTAATTTTATATGTGTGTATTATAAATAGTATTACTTTGTATTTCCTTTTCAAATTGTTCAGTCTTGGCATATAGAAATGCTGCTAACTTTAGCATGTTGATATTGTATCCTGCAGCTTTACTGAATTTTTTGTTCAGTTCTAATAGTTCTTTAGGTGGAGTCTTTAGGCTTTTCCAAAGATAAGATTATATCATCTGCAAACAAGTGTCATTTAACTTTTCTTTCCAATTTGGATGCCCTTTAAATTAATATATTTTTCTTGTCAGTTTCCTCTAGCTAGGACTTCCAGTACTATGTGGAATAACAGTAGTGACACTTGTCATCACTGTCGTGTTCCAGATCTTAGAGGAAAAGCTTTCAGTTTTTTTTTATATTTAGTAAGATATTAGCTGTGGGTCTGGCATATATGGTTTTTATTATGTTGAGGTATGGTTCCTCTATTCCTAGTTTTTTGAGGGGCTTTATCATGAAGGGATGTTAAATTTTATCAAATGCTTTTTCATCATTAATTGAAATGATCATTTTTTTCCTTTATTCTATTAATGTGATGTATCATATTGATTGGTTTATGTATGTTGAAGTATCCTTGCATCTCAAGGATAAATGCCACTTGGTCATAATGAACAATCTTTCTAATGTATTGCTGAATATGATTTGCTAATATTTTATTGAAGTTTTTTGTATCAATATTTATCAGAGATGCATATTGAACTACTGTGACCTATAGTTTTCTTGATGTGTCTTTGTCTAGTTTTGATATCAGAGTAATACTGCCCTTGTAGATGAGTTTAAAAGTATTCACCCTTCCAGGGCTGGGCACGGTGGTTCATGCCTGTAATCCCAGCACTTTGGGAGGCCGAGGTGGGTGGATCACGAGGTCAGGAGATCCAGACCATCCTGGCTAACACAGTGAAACCCCGTTTCTACTAAAAATTAAAAAAAATTAGCTGGGCGTGGTGGCGAGTGCCTGTAGTCCCAGCTACTCGGGAGGCTGAGGCAGGAGAATGGTGTGAACCCAGGAGGCGGAGCTTGCAGTGAGCCGAGATCGTGTCACTGCACTGCAGCCTGGGTGACAGAGCGAGACTCCATATCAAAAACAAAAAAAAAAAAAAAGTATTCACCCTTCCTCTACTATCAGAATAATTTGAGTAGGATTGGTATTAGTTGTTCTTTAAATGCTTGGTAGAATTCAGCAGTGAAGACATTGGGTTCCAGGCTTTTCTTTCCTGGGAGACTTTTTATTATGGCTTTAATCTCATTACTTGTTATGGGTTTATTCACGTTTTGGATTTCTTCCTGGTTTAATCTTGGTATGTTGCATATATCTAGGAATTTGTCCATTTCATCTAGATTTTCCAATTTGTTGGCTTACAGTTACTCACAGAAGCCACTAGTGATCCTTTGAATTTCTGCATTATCAGTTGTAATGTCTCCTTCTTCATTTCTGATTTTATTCATTTGGATCTTCTCTCTCTCTCTTTTTTTAGTTAGTCTGGCTAAAGGTTTGTGAATTTTGTTTAACTTTACAAAAAATAACATTGTTTTACTGATCTTTTCTATTGTTTTTTTATTTCAATTTCATTTATTTATGCCCTGATTTTTATTTTTTTCTTCTAATACTTTTGGGGTTTTTAAAAAATTTTATTATTATTATACTTTAATTGGTTCTTGCTTGTTTAGTTTTTTAGGATGCATTGTTATATTATTTATTTGGACTTTTTTCTCTTTTTTTTGATGTAGGCACTTCTAGATATAAACTTTTCTCTTAGTGCTGCCTTTGTTGTATTTCATAGGTTTTGGTGTGTTATAATTATTATTTGTTTCAAGACGTTTTTAATTTTTTTCTTAATTTCTTCATTGACACACTGGTCATTTCACATTATTTGTTTAATTTCTATGTATTTGTATAGTTTCCAAAATTTATCTTAATTACTACTTTTATTCCATTGTGATCAGAGACGATACTTCATATTATTTTATTTGTTTTTTCAGTTTTAAGACTTGTTTTGTTAACTAACATGTGGAGTATCCTTGAGAATGATTCGTGTGCTGAGCAAAAGAGTGTGTATTGCAGCTCTGGAATAAAATGTTCTGTAAATATCTATTAGATCTATGTTGTCTATAGTGAAGATTAAGTCTGATGTTTCTTTGTTGATTTTTAGCCTGGAAGACCTGTCCAATCCTGAAAGTGGTATGTTGAAGTCTCCAGCTATTGTTGTATTGGGGACTATCTCTCTCTTTAGCTCTAATAATATTTCCTTCATATATCTGTGTGCTCCAGTGCATATATATTTAAAATAGTTATATCCTCTTGCTGAATTAACTCCTTTGTCATTATATAGTAATGTTCTTTGTCTCTTATATTTTTTGTCTTAAAATGTATTTTGTCTTATATTAATGACTCCTATTCTTTTTTGGTTTCCATTGACAGTGAAGATCTTTTTCCATCCCTTTATTTCATGTCTATTTGTGTCTTTATAGGTGAAGTGTGTTTCCTGTTGGCAACAGATCAATGGGTCTTGTTTTATCATTCATTCAGCTAGTCTATGTGTTTTCTTTAGAGTGTTTATTACATTTACATATTATGTTATTCTTGATAAGTAAGAAACTAACCTACTCCTGCCATTTTGCTATTTGTTTTCTGGTTGTTTTGTGGTCTTCTCTTCCTTCTTTGTTTCCTTTCTGTCTTCCTCTGGTGAAGAGGATTTTCTCTGGTGATATGATTTAGTCTCTTGCTTTTTATTTTTTGTGTATTCATTATATATGTTTGGTTTGAGGTTACCATGAGGCTTGCAAATACTATATTGTAACCCATTATTTTAACCTGATAACAACAGTATTTGCACAAACAAGCAAAAAGAAAACCAATAAAAACTTGCCTTAATTTCATTCCAATTTTTAAATTTTTTGTTGTTTGTATTTACATCTTATTGTACTATGTCTTGAAAATTTGCTGTAGTTTTTATTTTTGATTGGTTCATCATTTAGTCTTTCTATTTATGATAAGAGTAGTTTACACACTAGTTACAGTGTTATAATATTGTGTGTTTTTCTGTGTACTTACTATTACCACTAAGTTTTGTTCCTTCAAGTGATTATTTATTGCTCATTAATGTTCTTTTCTTACAGACTGAAGTATTCACTTTAGCATTTCTTGTAGGACAGGTCTGGTATCAATTAAACCCCACAGATTTTGTTCGTTTGGAAAAGTCTTCATTTCTCTTTCATGTTTTAAAGATATTTTCACTGGATATACTATTCTAGGGTAAAAAATTGTGTTCCTTTAACACTTTAAAAATGTCATGTCACTCTCTCCTGGTCTGTAATCTGTCAATTAAAAAGTCTGATGCCAGACGTATTGCAGTTCCATTGTATATTATTCGTTTCTTTTCTCTTGCTGCTTCTAGGATCCTTTCCTTATTTTTGACCTTTGGTAGTTTGATTATTAAATGCCTCAAGGAAGTCTTCCTTGGGTTAAATCTGCTTAGTGTTCTATAACCTTTTTGTACTGGGCGATTGATATCTTTCTCTACGTGTGGGCAGTTCTCTGTTATCCTTTTGAATAAACTTGCTACCCCCATCTCTCCACCTCTCCTTTAAGGCCGATAACCCTTAAACTTGCCATTGTGAGTCTATTTTTCAGATGCTACAGGCATGCTTCATTCTTTTATATATTTTTTCTTTTATCTCTTTTGATTTTGTACTTTTAAATAGGCTATCTTCAAGCTCACTAATTCTTTTTCTGCTTGATCCATTCTGCTATTAATGGACCCCAATGCATCCTTTAGTGTGCCAAATGCATTTTTTCAGCTCCAGAATTTTTGCTTGATTCTTTTTAATTGTTTCAACATCTTTGTTAAATTTACCTGATATAATTAAATTTCTTGTCTATGTTATCTTGAATTTCTTTAAGTTTCCTCAACACAGCTATTTTGAGTTCTCTGTAAGGTCATATATCTCTCTTTCTCAAGGACTGGTTCCTAGTTCCTTATTTCGTTCATTTGGTGACATCATGTTTTGCTGGATGGTGTTCCTGCTAGTAGGTTATTTTTGGTATCTGGATATTGAAGATTTAGGTATTTATTGTAATCTTTACAATCTGGGCTTATTTGTTGTTATCCTTCTTGAGAAGACTATCCAGATATTTAAAACGGCTTGGGTTCTGTGATGTAAGCTGTTTCTGCTTCAGGGAGCATCCAAAGATCAGTAATGCTGTGGTTCTTGCAGATTCATAGAGGTTCCATCTTGATGGTCTTGGACAAGATCTGGGAGAATTCTCTGGATTATCAGGTAGAGACTCTTGTTCTCTTCTCTTACTTTCTCCTAAGCATACAGTCTCTCTGTCTGTTCTGAGCCACCTAAAGCTGGAGGTAGAGTGACAGAGGCACCCTTGTGGTCACCACCACTAGGACTGCACTGGGTTAGACCTGAAACAAGGACTGTGCTGGGACTCACCCAAGGCCTGCTGTAACCTCTCCCTGGCTACTGCCTATGTTTTCTCAAGGTCCTGGGGCTCTACAATCAGCAGGTGGCAATGCCTGTCATGCCTATGTCCTTCTCTTCATGGCAGCAATGTCTCTCAGGCTTCAGGTAGGTCCAGAAGCACTGTCTGGGTGTCAGGGACTGGAGTAAAAAACCTCAGAAGTCTATCTGGTATTCTATTGTATTGCAGCTGAATTGGCACTCAAACCACAAGATGCAGTCCTTCTCATGCTTCCCTCCTCTTTCCAAAGGCAGAGGACCCTCACCCCATAGCCACTGCCATCCCTGGCCAAGAAGAACACTGCCAGACTACCATCGATGTATCCTTAAGGCACCTGGTCTCTGAAGTCCGCTTATGGTGAATGCTGCCTGTCCTTGGACTCACATTTCAGCGCAGTGGGCTCCCCTCCAGAACAGGGCAGGTCCAGAAATGGTATCTAAAAAACAAGTCCTGAGGTCGAGGACCCCAAGAGCCAGCTTGGTTCTCTACCACCCTGTAGTGGTGTTGGTACCTACAGTGCAAAACAAAGCCTCTTACTTTTCCTTCTGCTTTTTTCAAGCAGGAGGAGTTTTGCCCCGTAGTCACCACAGCTGGCAATGTGCTGAATCTCACCTGAAGCTAGCAAGTCTCAGAGGCTCACCAAGGTTCTTGATGTAGTACCTGGGTATCACTGCTGGTTTTTCAGGGCCCAAGAGCTCTTCAGTTAGCAGGTGATGAATGTTAGCAGGACTGGGTCTTTTACTTCAAGGCAGTGGCTTCTTTTCTGGCCCAGGGTGTGTCTAGAAACGTCATCTGGGAGCTAGGCCCTGGAACAAGGGCCTCATGATTCTGATCAGTGCCCCATTCTGCTGCGGCTGAGCTGGTATCCAAGACACAAGACAAAGTCTTCCTCACTCTTCTCTCTCCTCTCTTCAAGCAGAAGAAAGGGGACTCTTGGAGCCATGTGCTGTGCAGCCTGGGGCTATGGGAGGTATAATGCTAGCACTCCCTTGGCTTCTTCAGCTGGTGTCTCAATATGTTACATGTCTCCCCAGTCCATTGTCTCAGGGCTTAGTTCAGCACTAGGACTTGCCTAAGAGTTGCAGTCCACATGGCCTAAGCTGCCTTTCAAATTTACTTAGTGACGAAAAGCACTTTGGCCCTCAGTGGCAAGTTTTTTGGGCACTGAAGTTAGGACCACTGAAATTGGTGATTACCCTGTATGTAGGGCTGATTTAAATGCTCCCTCTGTGGGTGGACATCAGCTGAGTTTGGTGTTTTTTTTGTTTCTGCCCTAACAGAACAGTACTGAGTTCAATGCCTCACAATTGCTGTGTTCTGCCTTTCCCAGCATCCAGAAATGTTCTCAGCACTGTAGTGCTGCTGCTTGGGGTGGGGGAGGATTTTGGTGATGCAGGACTGTTTTTTCCATCTTTTCAGTGCCTCTTTCAGAGATATGAAGTTAAAATCAGGTACTGTGAATGCTCACCTGATTTTTTGTTTTTTTATGAAGGTTTTTTTTTTCTGTGTAGATAGTTGATAAATTGGTGTCTTTGCAAAGGTGACAACACATGGAGCTTTCTACTCTGCTATCTTGCTCTGCCTCCAATATATCCAATTTTATTTCTTTTTCTTTCCTCTATGGAAAATTGTTATTCTTTTTCTTGCAAAATTTCTGTAAGTCTTCCAGCACTATGTTGAATAGAAGTGGTGAGAGTTGGCACCCTTATCTTGCTTCAATTTTCAGAAGAAAGACTTTCAATTTTTTACTCAAGTGTAATATTAGCTGTGGGCTTCTCACATATGGCCTTATTATGGAAGGAATGACACCATAGTAGCAAAAAGCACATCCTGTGCTCGTATCTTAGTTTCTAGTATCATTCTCCAATAAAAGGACACAGGGATCCTTGGAGAAATGGTTGATTATAAGGGTTGGGCCAGGGAAAATATAAGATGTTCTTGGAGCATCTTATATTGACAAAAACTAATAAAGTGCTCAAAATAAAGGAGGAAAGGAAGGAATTAAGGCAAAAAGAAAATGCAAGAATAGAGTATGTTAAAGTTATAAGGTACCAATTTAAAGAGTTCTTAATTGTCAAGCCTGGAGCAATTTATGCAATATAATAGATAACGATAGTATTAGATTTTAATCCAAAGAACAATATAAATATCTCTGAGTTCATACTGAAATAATTTATTCAATAAATAAATACATGGCCATTCAAGGAAAATCTTTATTAAGTAGTTCCAAATAATTAATGTAGAATGAATGAGGAAAATAGAAAATCACCATTAGATCACTGCAACAATAAATTCTGTGGGCAAGCTCCATAAGTAAACTATAAAATTAGTGGAAGAAACTTTAAGGAGGAACAAGATGTTTGCAGAGCCTCCAAGTATTTTCTCTAAAATATTACCAGAAATTACTGGATAATATTAATGTATATCTGTAAAATCTTTTACAATACTTCATGCAGTTGATATTGCTTCCCTTCCCTTGAGGTCGAGATAGACATCATGACTCAATTCAAATGAACAGGTTATACAGAAAGAAAAATAGTAACTTTAAAATAGACAAACTTGGCAAACACTACCTTAAACAATGGTCAAGTTTAACACCTCAAATTACAAGCCATGTTACTATAATGTAACTCCCTGACACTAGGCACTTAGAAGCACACATCACTTCTGTGGCATTCTTTCTAATAATACATAACACCAGTCTAATCATGAGGAACCATCAGATGAACTCAAATTATGGGGCATTCTATAAATATGTGATCGGAACTATTCAAGAATATTAAAAACATGGAAAATGAGATTGAGAAACTATCACAGTCAGGAGGAGACCAAACACAATTATTAAATGCAATGTGGTATCCTGAATTGAATCATGGAAAATAAAAAACACTATTTAAAAACCTGATGAAATCTACTTCAGTCTGTAGTTTAGTTAGATATATTGTACAGATGTTAATTTCTTAGTTTTGGCAAATGTAACATGGCTAAATAAGGTGTTAACATTAGGAGAAGCTGGGTGAAGTGTATACAGGAACTCTGTGCTATCCTTAAAACTCTTCTTTAAATCTAAAATTATGTCAAAATAGTACTTATTTATTTATTTATTTATTTATTTATTTATTTATTTATTTTTGAGACAGGGTCTCACTCTGTCATCTAGGCTGGGGAATAGTGGCACAATCTAGCTTACTGCAGACCCAACTTCTTGGGCCAAAGCAATCCTCTCCCTTCAGCTTCCTGAGTAGCTAGAACTATAGGCACACATCACCACAGCCAGCCAATTTTTAATTTTTGTAGAGATAGCGCCTCACTATATTGACCAGGCTTGTCTCAAACTCCTGAGCTCAAGTGATTCACCCGCTTCTACCTCTCAGAGTGCTGACATTGAGCCATTGCACCTAGCCTCAAAAACAAAACAAAACAAAACAAAACTTTTTTAAAAATTAAGGTCTATTGTTTGAGTTTTGTGAACAAAGTCAGGGACAGTAGGCATGAGGAGGGCATCAGATTAAAAATAAATGCCAAAGGTAGAATTGGATATGGTCAATTAGATTGGAAATGAGGTGGTATAGAGCTAAACATATGGAATAGTTAAAGATGACTCCAAGGTTTCTGAATTGGGTAGATGAGTTTGCCATTGACTACAAATGTGAACATGAGTGGAGATGCCACTTGCTTTTGGGTGATACTAAGTTAAATTATACTCTGGCTAATTCTTGAAGTCCCTGATGCGTTCAAGTGGGAAAGACCACTAAACAATATATGAAGCTGGAGCTAAGTGAGGTTTGGACGGGTAAAAAACATTTGTAAATTTTCTGTGTAGAGTTCTATAGACAAAACTTTGAAAGTAGGTGAGATTACTTATTGTGTTTTAGTAACACATTTCTTGAAGCATAGAACATACGCCTTATATTATGCATTGCTCTGAAAATCTCTGTAGAAAAATAATCCAGTTAATTTTCATACCAAAATTAAAAATTATGAATGACATGCATTTCTAGTTTGTGACCAATTTTTCCTTTGTTGATTTGGAGGATTTATGTGTAAGTAATTGAAAGTCACAAATTTTTAGATTGTTAATTTTTTTCAGAGTGGATTATTTTCTCTAGCTATAAGAAACAACTCTTGAACTGTCATTATTATTTATCTACTGGAGATAAATTTTAGAATGCAATCCAGTAATACTTCCAAGACCATAAATTTGAAACTCACACTGGAGTCAGGTTGGGAAAAAATAAACAAAGTCAATTTGCTGCAAAAGTTTTTTATTGTTATGTGTTTTTTAAAAATGTAAACTTTTAAGGGCATTTAGATTAGATCATTTTAGAGAATGAAAGCTATTTGAAAATTATTGATTTCAATAAAGGTGTATTTCCTTAAGAACATTAAATGGTAGAAATTCACATAGAATAGACTTGAAGTGACTTTTAAATTCTCTGGAAGTACATGCAGTAATTTCCTCAAAATCATTCAGAGCTGTCAAAACTTCATGGTTCTCTACAGTCTTATGTCCCTTTTAGAAAGCCCACATTTACATTTTATACCTGAGCCATTATCATTGGCATTTTATTTTAAGTGATAATGTCAATAATTTGTATTAGCAGGTCTAGTTTGCTTTATTACTTGAAAAGTGTCCTGCAGATTACCCAGTAAAGAAATGAAAAGAGCTAGAGAAGCTATATGCTTAGTTCCTTGATAAAATGTGAATAGACATTCTAAATTGGAAATTTTCATTTTGTTGTCTGTGCATAGTGAAGATTTTATATATAATCGTAACTGCTCATTACAGGTTTTTTTCTTAATAAAATTAGCTCATTAGCTCTATATATTAGTCAAATAAAGAACATTGCTTGTATTTTAAGAATCTGCATTTTATTCTTCACTTTCTTAAATCAATTTTTTTTCTGAATCTTTCAAAATATCTTCAAAATGACATAAATGCCTTTAAACAATTGGAACCTACAAATAACTTAGGTCTTTTCTTTTGTAGTGTGGTTTGACATGGTCACCATCACTCTTAATTTCTAAGGAAGAATAGATGATAAAATGTCCATGTGCTGAAGAAAAAGGTAACCTCTTTCAACATTAATACTTGCATTTAAATACTTGTAAAATCCATTCATTTATTGAGAGAACATTTATTAAGCTTGTGTCAGGTATTATGTTAGGCCATGGGGATACAAAGATGATTAAAACCACTTCCTCCCCTCAAAGAATTCTCATGATGGCAGAAATGGGGCATATGCAAACAAGTAGTCAAACAAGCAATTCCAAACATATAAGAGCTATGATAGATGAACATTCAGAGTGCTTTAAAACCACTGAGAAAGGAACAATCAATCTGTCTCCTTTCCATAGAGTAGACATATGAGCTGAGACTTGACAGATAATTAGGAGTTCACTGGTAGGCATGGGACACTGTAGAAAGAACTCTGAAAAAGACATTCCAGTTATAGAAAATGTAGAGACAGGGGGAATAAAAACACATGGAAAGGAGATTAAAATTGCTAACACTTAGGTTTTCATCATCAATCTTCCCCTCAGAATTACTATTGTGATCATAAAATATTATTACTATTAGAAGTAGTAATAGTAGTAGCAAGGCTTACATTTATTCATCATCTACTATGTACAAAGCATTTTTTTTGACAGAGTCTTGCTCTGTTGTCAGGAGGCTGGAGTGCAGTGGAGCGATCTCTGCTCACTGCAACCTCCGCCTCCCGGGTTCAAGCAATTCCCCTACCTCAGGCTCCTGAGGAGCTGGGACTACAGGAGTGTGCCACCACGCCCAGCAATTTTTTGTATTTTTAGTAGAGATGGGGTTTCACCGTGTCAGCCAGGATGGTCTCCATCTCCTGACCTCATGATCCACCTGCTTCGGCCTCCCAAAGTGCTGGGATTACAGGTGTGAGCCACTGCACCTGGCCTACAAAGCATTCTTCTAAGCACCTTTACTTATATATTTAAACACTCGCAATAACTCTTTTAGACAGATTTTAAAGTTTGTCAAATTTTATAGATGAAGAAATTGATGCATCCAGATGTAAGAAACATAATGAAAGGCATTTAGCTAGCAAATGGCAGGATTTACAGGCAGTTTGCATTTGAGCCATGCTATAAACTACTTAGCTATGCTTACATTATACAATATGACAAATATGATATGGAGAAAGATAAAAACAAAGTATGGTAATAACTCACTGCTACTCATTTTTACTAACCTGCAAAATATGTCTTTCCATGAACTAACAAGATTGTAAATTCATCAAGTCAAGGAGCAATATATAATTTCAGTATGTTTCCCATTCTGTGGACATGCAAAGAAATACTATATACAATGGCACTCTGTTCAGGGAGTCTATAGGTCTATACTCTAGTTGAGGAAACAAAATAATTTGAAAAATTAAATGTTGAACTCTATTTACTGGCCATGAATGAATATTCTAGAAGATAAAAGAAAGGAAGCATCAGGAGGTACAATAATAGCCAAGTCAGTTTTCCTGATGAATGGGGTAGGATTGTAGAAAGACATGAGAATAAGTAAAATAAGGCATTCTAATGAGGAAAGACACAAAAGCAGACACCAGGATGCCATATGCGAGAGACAGAGGGGAGCTTGGTCTGCTGAAATATGTACCGTAGGAAAGTTCAAGACTAAGCATAAGTAGAAAGAGCTTAGGTTTTTAAGGGTCTTGATAGCTTTGGGCATGGTACAGCAAACAATGTAAGAGTTGTTGTGATTGTGCAAGTAATTACCATGATGAAACAGGATTTTTCTTTTTCTGAAAAATATGATGTGTGCTTATTTGGAATAGGGAAAAAGACTAGAGTCAGGAAGACTTGAGAGTATATTTGAGACATTTCTTGAGTAACATCCCATTATGCTCATCCTTGGATCACCTAAATCAGAGCACACAGATGATCACTAATATACAGATTCAAGCTGCCTAAACTGACTGAGTCTGAATCCTTTGAGTGAGGTCCAGGCATCAAATTTTTAACAAGTATCTCGGGTAATTCTGACGTGGCAGCCAGTTATTCTAGTATATTTTCACAACCCTGTTTTGGAATTTCTTATAAAATCAGCTCATAGACATTTTTAAAAATAACCTTGCTGACTATTAATTATCACTCAGAGAATAGAAAGAGGGCGAGCAGATAGCAAATCAAGTACATTACCTCTGTTTCACATTACATTTAAGTGGCAGGTGCTTTTTGCGTCATTGATGTATTCCCTGCATATTGAGCTGAATTTGCCTTTTTATTTATAGTAGTTTCATTCTTCTTTTATTACATCCCTTTTGACTTGGTTCATTTAGATTTTCTCCAAAGCAAGTGTTTTGTTTTGCTTTAATTAAAACCATTAATTATCAACTGAATTTGGCACTTCCAAACACTATATGTGAAAAGAAAAGTAATCAAAAGTCCATTACTGACGTTTTGAGTAGTTAGTACAGTTCTACCGAGAAATGCCTTTTATTGACCAATGCGTATTCTGAACCCTGCCTTTACAAGTATGTCAATGACCAGTTCCCAGATTAAACAGACAGTGAATATTGAACAAAGTACAAAACTGAGTAACCAAAATTAGCTAATAATGGTATAATAATTATATAATTGCATGCATTAATATGTCAATCTGGAAAACATGCTTTGCAAATCTACTCTCTGTTACATTACTGGTAAGTGCCATAATATTAGTTTTGTAAGGTGAATCGTAGTCATTTGCATCCTAAAGGTCTTTTTTTTGAAATTGTATTATATTGCATTTATTGTATTATAACCAGTAAATTAAAATAGAAACTTATTTGGACAACACTCTATCAGGAAAAAAGATTTTCTGCATGTTAAATATAAATCTGGATTTATGATTAATCTTCTAATTCACCATGTGTAATAATTATTTAAATATGTTGACAAATAAAAATAAAAATAGATTTACTAGGACTATATGCAAAGTATATATTACATCAGTGATTAAACTCCCCACTATTTGTATTGGGCAGCGTTTATTTCTCACATAACTCCATGTAGTAGGTACAAGAAATATTATTATTACCATTCGACCCATGAGAAAACAGCCAAAAAAGGCAATTTGCCTAAAGTTTCAGAACAAGTTAAGGAAAAGCTGGAATTCAAATCTATGTTTCTTGACACAGTACAAAATTTTTGAAACTAAACCTTGCTACTTTCAGTAAATTAGAGTATTTTATAGTAGTTTAAAGTTTTACTAAGTAGGAAGTTGAGTCACTGGGTGATGGACAAAGTGAATATAAACATAGACAAAGTTAATACTTCACACTATAACTGGAAACCTCACATATTATGTCCCCCAAACACACATTTTTTTTTTCCTTTTCTTTCTTTTCTTTTCTTTTTTTTTTTTTTTTTTCTGAGACAAGGTCTTACTCTGTTTTCCAGGCTGGAGTGCAGTTGTATGATCACAGCTCACTGGTGCCTCAACCTCCCTGGGCTCAGGTGATCTTTCTGCCTTAGCCTCCCAAGTAGCTGGGACTTCAGGCATGTGCTATCACACCTGGCTAATTTTTGTATTGTTTGTAGAGATGGGGTTTCACCATGTTGCCCAGGCTGGTCTTGAACTCCTGGGCTCAAGTATGCCTCAGCCTCCCAAAGTGCTGGGATTACAAGTGCAAGCCACCACACCTGGCTCCAAACACACAATTTAATTAAATGATACCATCAGGCTAAATAAATGCCCACATGACATATTTTATGCAATTTAAAAAATACTCACTATTTTCTTACTATGTGCCAGGTACTGTGTAAAGAACTGGCAAAAAAGAAGTGGTTAAAATGCAGCCTTTGCCCTTAAGAAGTTCACAGTAGAATGGTCAGACATTCAAATAAATAGTCATGATACACTACAACAGAGGCAATGACAGGAACCAGTATGAAAAGGAGACAGAAGGGAGGAGAGAGTAATGAACACTGTTGAAATTAGAAAAGCCTCTGGAGACATAATAATTTCTGTGATAAATATTGATGAATAAGTAAGAGAATCAAAATAAAAAAATTAGCTATATGAAATAATTTTGGTTTGCAAATCATTTTCACAAAAAATCCTGAATAAATAAAATGAAAATAAACAGAATCATATATAATAATCACACTTTCTCACCTGTATTTATTCTACTATAGCTAACATCTAAGTTACCTTAGTTGTGATATAGGCAACACTCATTTTGGAAACAATAGTGGAGAGCCCATTGGCTAATTTTGAGCTTGGGCCTAAGATCACTTACCCTTAGGTAATTCTTCTACTCAGGATTCTATCTCATTGGCCTTGGAAATGATTACAGGGAGTGCAGAGAACTCTCATCTACGCTGAATGTTCTGCATAAAGTCAGATCTTTTATTTCTCTTATCAGCATTCCAGGCACAAACAAACAGTATAATGGATGGCAAATATGGGTTATGTATTCAAATATTAACACAGAGAAAATCTGATGTTCTGATTGTTTTGAAAATTTGGGAGATTAAAAATAATGGGTGTATATTCTCTGGAGCTAACAAACAGTTGGATGGATCATAATTGCTCACTGAGAAATTATATACTTTCCACCTGACTGTGTCATACATTTTGATTCCCAGCTTGGTCCTTGCAGGCATTGGGTTTCTATATTAAATACAAAAGCTTTCTCTTTATTGAAACACCTCTCATGCTTATTAAGTCTCAAATTTCACCAAATTATAAATACCTTACTACTTGTGGTATGGCCAATTATGTGCATTTCTACTCTGCCCCAATAGTGATTTAGAAACTCATAGCTCCCCAGAGCCAAGGTCTAAATATTTGCACCACATCTGTTTGTGTTCCATAGACGACTTGAAGGCTAATGTCACTTCCAAGACTATTCCCAGCCTCCTGGGAATCTGAGTGTTTCTAGCATTCTCTCCAGAAGACAAAAACACTAAAAACCAGGTTATTTATATACTATGGCTAAGGGCCACTGTGTTTTATCAGCAATCATTTTGTTACTTTTATAAAAACAATTTCTACTTTTTTGTGGCTTGCACAGAGCTTGAGAAAATAGAAATTTATGTTTGATTTGGAGTGAGTTTGTAGAGAAAGAAATAAAGAAAAACTGTTATAAGAAGGATAACAAATCTGTGGCATCAAAAATACTGACAAAAGTGAACTTTGAACTAGAGTTTGTAAGAGTTTTTAAAAGAAAAACTTTAGCCAAATTAAATTAAAAGGGTTTCATGGAGCAAAGAATAATTCATGAGTCAAGCAGTCTGCCGAGCCAGAGTAGGCTCAGAGACACCAGTGTAGCCATGTGGTGGAAGAAGATTTAGGACAGGAAAAGGAAAGTGACATACAGAGAGTGAAAGCGAGGTACAGAATGACCAGATTGGTTACAGCTCAGTATTCACCTTATTTGAACAGGGTTTAAACAGTTGACCACCTTTGATTGACCAAAACTTGGTGATTGGCACAAGAGTAGGCCATAGTGTGTTTACAAATCTATTTAGGTTATAGTTCATGATGAACAGAGAAACCTTTTAGGCTGAACTTAAAATATGTAAGAAGGTATCTTTACGCTAAACTTGATTTAACAATCCCCCCTCTTAGTTATGCTAGCAATTTTGAAAGATTGACCAAAATTTTATTCATTGATGTCACTATCACCATCATAAATGTACTTATTTGGTCTTTAAACTCACTGGGAAACAGCAGAACAGTAGGATTTGTAAGGTGAGAAGAAGAACTTCACATTATTTTATGTAAGGATTAGAGTAGAGGGTACCCCCTTATTCTGGAATGTCCTGTTTATAGGAGAGAAAACAAAACCTGGTCTGTTCTAGGATCTATATGTTTCCTTAAAGTCCTAGCTTGATTATGTCACATTTAGCACAAGTTACTGCATTTTGGTTTGGTCTGGTCTATTGTGGCCTAGTGCATTAGCTCAGTCCAAAACAATAGTTTACCATAATTTGTTTAAAAACTCCCCTCTTCTGGCCAGGTTCTCACTTAGGTGAGAATGTGACCAAAACTTAGGGCCTCAGTGCCACTCTCAGTTACCATCATTTTTTGTTTCCTGTCTCAGCACATCATTTACAGGGTATGGTGCACTCATGATCACACGTTTCTTTCAGCTCTTGTCATTCCAGTTGAAGAGAGACAATTTGACATTCTGGAGATGGCTTCATGAAAACACTTAAAACTTTGAGAGAATACCATGCACCAGAGAGACTACTATTATGCTTATCAGGAGAACGATACCAAGAGTTTGGAGTATGCTCCTTACCCATGATCCCCATAAATCAAGCCAACTGAAATCAAATAAAGAGTGGGCTAGATAAAGAGTTTACTTGCTTTAACTAAGTATTATCTTTGTTAATTTCCTGCAACTGAATCTCTATAATATCCAGTATGATGTGTTATTATATGGGCAATAAGAAATGGCAGAAGCTGCACAGATACTTCTCTGTTTAGCCAGTAAGCAATCTAGAGCAATTCTATTATTTAGCATAACTTTCACAAGAGAATTTAAAGTCTGTTGTGTAACCACAGTCTTTACAGTAGAATTTGCTATAGAGCTTATCATGAGAAAGACATTTGTAATCATTTGCCTTATTTACTTCAAACCATGGAAGAAAAGGATCATACGAATGATGCCCTTCTAGAAAAGTGAAAAACTCATGGCAATGTTTTCAACCCATGACATAGGTTAAGAGTAGCAGGCCAATGTTCTGTTTCTGACTGATTATGACGCAACATAGGTACCATTACAATTTCTCATCTTCATCTATCAAAGCGTAAGATTATGCACATATAAGTCTGGCTGCAAAAGTTTTCACAAATAAAAGTTTACCCCATGAGTGCACACAACAGACCCTCATTTTACTTCTATTGTTCACAGAGGCATAAGTGATGCAAAAAAATGGAAAGATAATAGTCACATAATAGTACAGAAGTCTTGATCCATGATCTTAGCAAAAAGCTGTGCACATCAAGGATGTAATCTTTTTCTGGGGAGGAACTTCCCTGGTTATCTTTACCTTAAGGTTTGCAATGAGTGTGCAGTTCCTAGAGTGTGGAGGGAACCTTCTGAGTTGTGAGATTATGAACCCAAGTTTCAAGATTCTGAAATTTTTCTGCAGTGTGAATGGCAAGGATAGACTTTCTCTGATGTTCTCAGGAGAACCAGTCTTCGGGTTCTAGATTGTGAACCGGTTAATTGTCCTCAGTCAGTAAATCATTAAAAGCTTTCTTTACCTGATGAAAATACACGGTGGCATAATGAGCTACTGTTATAACATCAAGCCTCTTGCATGGGAAAGCTTTTATACAATCAGAAAATATGCATTTAAATGACAATTGAATGAAATCCCTCTATAAATGTTTAAATGATCCATCAAGTAGCAGAATGTACCTGAAGTTTTGATTGTTTTTTCAGGAATGTGGGTTTGAGAAACGAAACATTGGTCATAAACTATTTTAGCAATTATATATATTTCAATCATTGCCTCATTTATTCCAAATCATGAATATATATATGTGTGTATATGTGTGTGTATACATGTATATACATATATACACACGTGTGTATATACGCACGTGTATATATACACACGTATGTGTATATATGTATATACATATACACATGTATATGTATATACACATATATACACACATGTATTTATATGCACATATATTTATATATATAAAACATTTGGATTATTTTATATTTTTCACAGTAAGTCATGGAATGCAGAACTCTTAATAACAAAATCTTTAAGGACTCAGGAAGGATAAGGTAGACATCCTAGTTCTCCATTGTCCATGCATAACATTGGACTTATGTCCTCTTGAATACCAGTTGTCTCTCCAATTTAGATGTATAGCACTGATAACTGAAGGGTTATCATAGGTAATTTGACTTAGATGATGCAGCTCATTCAAATTGCATATCCAAACAATTTCGGTCCTGGCGGATTTAGCATGAAAATCTGGAAAAGTGTTTTCTTAGTACTTAATTAGTTTTTGTTCTGCTTGGGCTAGCAGTTTTATAAACCAGTCTATTTATTAAAGTTCTGGGAATCCTTACCCAGTCCAAATGATATGATTCTAAAGTTATCAGAAAGCTTTATTCAAGAGTGCTTCTTAGGGTTCTTTTCATCCTTTCATGAATGTCCTTAAAGACATGATTTTCCCCAACTTTTACATTCATCTTGTTTTATCTATTTTTTCTCCTTCAATTTGAAATCTTTATGTAACTTCAACCTAGAAAAAAATATATTTAACATACATTTTTATGCCTTTATAACTTTCCTCATCAGATGCATGTTTTGCTTTTGCTTAAAAACTCTGTATACAGAATTGTTTCTCCCATATCTAGTGTTTTTTTTTTTTTAAACTTTTAGTAACCCTAACTTCTAGTGAAAACCCTAGAAGTAATTTTGGACTCTTTTATATCAGTATTTGTAAATAAATATAATTTTATAATTTTTGGAAGGATACTTTTTCAAATTATTATTTATTAACATATTTAAATATATTTAGCTTTTCTTTACCGTATAAAACTACCATGTCAAGGTACACAGTCTTAAACCCATGTTTAATAATTAATATTTTGGTATTTTAACTTACAGATGACTTAGACATTTTACGATTATTCATTACTTAATTTAACTTAATATCTCTAACATTTTAAATTTCTGAAAAGAATTTTGAAACTATGACACAGGTAGCCTCCCTAATGTCCTCCTCAAGTTATACTAGGTCCCAAGTAGCCATGGAGCTGAGGAGGACTATGAAGGTCAGGGCCTTTCTGAGTTTGTCAGGACAGAAGACAGAGCTATGAAGACTATCCCTGGAGGTTGCAACCCCTAACAAAATAGCTAGGAGGAAAAACAGAGAAAGCAGAGGAAGAAGGGGTCATACTGGGCTTGATTCTGGCTTGTAGCTGCTGTTCTAGGCACTAAAAACATGTCTCCAGACCTCATCATGGTCACCTATTAAGACCCCTGAATCCAAAGACTCTTAACCAAAGACATAATCTCACAGTCAAATAAAGCAACTGTCTAATAATACTTAATGGATAACTTTGAAGCCATTTCTATTTTACAAACAATTTAAGAACTAGCTTTATTTACCAAATATCAAACACACAGAAGCAAATCTTATCTCATAAATAATTTTTAATTGTCGGCTTTTAAATACTTTTCCCCATTTGGTCTACCAGTCTTCCAATTACCTGTTTCATTGTTCTGAGCAATTGTTAACTAAGCAACAGATTTGCAATGCTAAAGGGACAACTCTTAGGTGGAAAGGAATTATATTTCATAAGCACAGAGCTAAAATTTTGGGCCTAAATATTGTTTCATCCTTTGCTCAAACCAAAGAAAAACAATTCTTAAATAAAAGCTCACTTAAGACAAGATGGCCAGAAAAGCACCTTAAACAAAGATATGACTTACTATATAAATTTAAAATAATGGTAAGAATTTTACTATATATAGGCAGACATCCTTAAAAATGGAAATTTCTATTATAGATATAAATTTCTTTTACAAAAGAGTTTAAAGATAGCCAATTAAATTTTAGAAAGGTGTATTTTAGTTCAATAGGGTGTTCTTTTTAACTTAGTTAGTACTTCTTAGCTAAAATTACTGAATTCAGGGAAATAGGTGGAGTCCAATAAGGGACAGAGCCAAGAAAGCATTTTGTATGCCTGGAGTCAGCATGAACACATCTGAAAAAGAAGCAAGCCTTTTTTATCTGAGGTCCTACCTTTTATAAACACCTCATCTAGCATAGCTTCCTTTCCACCTTCAAAGCTGGGTAGTAACTAAGCCAAAAAGGTTAGCCAATTCCATTTTTCTTATCAATTAGTCACTTAAGCTTTATATTTGCCTTTCATGAAGACTTTAAATAGAAATATTAAAATATTTTAGAAGCTACTGAATATCAATAGGCATTCCTAGGTAAGACTAATTTGGCAGCCCTAATTTTCAAATTCACTTTTTAAGTGCAATGTTGTACAAGTGGAGTGTCCCACTGTAACTTATATCTTTAGTGAGATTTCACCATTTCTGTAAGACTGCTCCTTCTGTGGCCTAATACTTAGGCATGTACCACCTGGAAGGGAGGGACTAAGTGGCTAAGTTGGCTGGACTTCCTGGGTCAATAGGGACTTCCCTAAGGGGACTTTCCCCTAAGCCGAAATTAGTCATAGCTACAAGCTAAGGGATTGAAACTTCAACCAATCAAAGGGGACTTTCCCCTAAGCCAAAATGAGTCACGGCTGCAAGCTAAGGGATTAAAACTTCAACCAATCATATAGGGAGTTTAAGCTCTAACTGCAGGCTGATTTTTTATCCAATCAGGCCCGCCAACCCACAAGCAGATAGAAAATAAGCTAATTCTATAGAACAGGAAAAGGGGAGGGGTCATAAGGAGATATAAGCATAAGACACCCAAGCCAGAAACGGAAACCCTTCTGGGTCCCCTTCCACCAAGTGGAAGCTTTACTCTCACTTTCGATTTTGCTTTACTTTCACTTTCACTTTAATAAATCTTGGTGCCACACACTCTTTGGGTCCGTGCGTTTCTCTGATCAAGCTGTAACACTTGCTGCTGCGGTCCACAGCTTCATTCCTTCAAGCCCATGAGACCACGAACCCTTCAATTGAGAAAAACCTTTGATAGTAAGACTTCTCGTCTCTTCAGTTCTTCAGAAATTAAGGATCCAATTTCTCCTCAAATATTGGCTTTGGCTCTCAGGATCCCTTGGTCAACTTAACCATTATTTTTTTTTCCCTATCTAAGTGTACAAGAAAAATAAAACAGAGAGGGTAGAACATGAAAATCCCTGAGAATTTTCAAAAGCCAAATTTTATACCCCCTGAAGTATTGCCATTTACTACTGGTTTCTTTCTGACCTGGTCAGACGTAAGAAACCTCTAACTGCATGTAAGCCAGTTAATTATTGGATCCAATTCAATCCTGGACTCAGTCCAGTTTCTGTTATGACTTCCAGATGCAGTGTGGATCAGAAATTTGCTCAAAGAAACTCGGGGAGTGCAAAACACTTATCTATGGAGCTTCAGAATCTGAGAGAGAACTTACCACGTTCCCCATTTGCTCTGAGAGACCAATGGACACTATGGGCCCAGTGTGTACCTTGCTTGGTCACTCAGCACACATGGGGGCTGTTAGAAGCTCTACTTTGTATCCCACTTCTGATATCATTTGTTGAAAGAAAAACTTTAGCTGACTTAAATTTAAGGGTTTAGTTGAGCAAAGAAAAATGTGTAGATTAGGGAGACTCCTAAGCCAGAGTAGTCTCAGAGTCTCCAGCACGGCCATGTGGTGAAAGAAGATTTATGAACAGAAAAATGAAAGTGATGTACAGAAAACAAGTGAGGTACAGAAACAGCCAGATTGGTTAAGCTTAGCATTTGTAATATTTGAACACTGTTTGAAAAGTTGGCTACCTTTGACTGCCCAAAAGTCAGTGATTGGCACAAGAGTAGGCTACAGTCTGTTTACAACTCTATTTAGGTTTGTGAACCCTGAATATCTGAAACAGGTCTCAGTAAATTTAGAAATTTTATTTTGCCAAAGTTAAGGATGTGTGCGCATGACATAGCCTCAAGAGATCCTGATGACATGTGCGCAGGGTGGTCCCAGCACAGCTTGGTTTTATACATTTTAGGGAGACATGAGACATTGATCAGCATACGTAAGATAACCATTGGTTCAGTCTGGAAAGGGGAGAGAACTCGAAGCAAAGGTAGGACAACTCAAAATGAGGAGGGTCTTCCAGGTCAAAGTCAGATAAGAGACAAATGGTTGCATTCTTTTGAATTTCTGATTAGCCTTTCCAAAGGAGGCAATCAGATATGCATTTATCTCAGTGGGTAGAGGGATGACTGAATAGAATGGATGAAAGGCAGGTTTGCCCTAAGCAGTTCCCAGCTTGACTTTTCCCTTTAGCTTAGTGATTTTGGAGCCCCAAGATGTATTTTCCTTTTATAGGTTACAGTTCACAATGTACAGAGAAACCATTAGTCTAAACTTAAAATATGCAAGGAGGCAGATTTAGGCTAAACTTGATTTAATAGAGTAATGTTATGAAAATATAATACATCTTCTTATTACTGAAAGGACATCTGGCAAAGCCATAAATAAAAAACAACCTTTGGATATAGCCACTATTTATTTCCTTGTTGAACTTGTAAACCAAAAATAAAATTCTAATGCCTCTCAACCATCTGCACAGACCCTTCTTTTCAGTCAAGTGGCATTTCAGAGTTAACCTAAAAAACTGGTTCAGGCCATGACTGGAAGTGAGGGTTGGACATGCCTCATTATGCCCTCCTCCCTTTTGGAATTCAGGAAAAGTCAACCAGCATTTAACATCAACACAGACTTTAAGCCTGATTTAAACAACAACAACAACAACAACAACAACAACAACAAAAACACATTGATAGTCTATTCTCTCTGAAGCCTGCTACCTGGAGGCTTTATCTGCATGATAAAACTTTGGTCTCCACAACCTTTTAATCAAAAGCAAGGCATTACTTTCCACTGATAATTCTTTTAACCAATTGCAAGTTCAAAAAATTTTAAATCTACCTATAACCTGGAAGCCTACCCACCTGCTTAAAGTTATCGTGCCTTTCTGGACCAAACCAATTTGTATCCTAAATGTATTTGCTTGATGTCTCATATCTCTCTATGGGTGACTATTGTTTAAGCTATTATTACCTTCTTGCTTAGCAGTTTATTTGCTTCGCCAAGCTGCTGGTTGCAAAGCTAGCTAGGTGCATGGAATTTCCCATGAAGGGATGCAAATCTTTCTTTATTCCCATGCTTTGAAGAGGGGATAGCAACCTGGCAGGCCCCTAAGAGGGACTCCTATTCCATTTCATTTGCAATATTGCTCTCGCTGTAAGAAAAATGTATCAAACCTCCTTCAGCAATTCACATTTTGATTCACCAACAGTAGCCAAAATAATGGATGTGCAAATATGCTCTAATAGAGCTTAGTAAGATTGATAGTAATAATAATAAAAGCTAACATTTAGTACATGTTTGCTAAAGGTAAAGCATTGTGCTAAATGCTTAACATGATTTTTCTAATTTAATTCTTACAACAACCCCACAGAGTATATATTATTATTATCCCAATGTTACCAATGAGAGAACTGAGGCACAGAGGTGATGGCAATTTCCTAGGGTAACACAACTGAGTGGTTGAGTAAGGATGTTAATCAGGCAGTCTGATTTCACAATTGTCAGTCTTCGAAAATTTTATCCTGCTTGTCACATCAGATTGATCTATGGGACTACTTTTTACCTCACCCATCCCTTAAGATGTCATCACTTTATAAAATAGCTTGATTTTTCCTTTCATGGACCCTCAAGTAATGCAGCGTTGTTTGTATGGTAGCTCTCTATAGAGGGGCATATGTCTCTTTAAGAGGTCAACATGAAGTAGAATGATATTATGTAAATCTGCCTCATGTAAGTGGCAGAAAAGGAGGATTTACGTTAAAGTACTTACTCATACTATAAGATACAGTAGCTAGTTGGTAACTCACTTGAGTTTACCTATTTTTAACCTACTCCGTCTTCACCACTTTTATCAGAAATAAGTGGCTTCTCTTGACATTCAGTTTTCTATCTATAAATAAAGATTATATTTGTTTCCTAGCTAATAATTTTTTGTGACAATTATGGATATCTATCTATCTATATTTATCTATCTAGTCGTACATCTATTATCTATGGGGATGCATTCTGAGAAATGCAACATTAGGCAATTTTATCATTGTGTAAACATTATAGAGTATATTTATACAACCTAGATAGTATAGCCTACTACATAGTATACTATTTATAGCACAAATAGGCTATATGCTATAGCCTATTTCTCCTAGGCTACAAACCTGTACATAATGTTACTGTACTGAACGCTGTAGGCACTGTACCACAATGGTAAGTATTTGTGTATTCTGAACATAACTAAATGTAGAAGAGGTACAGAAAAAATATGGTATAAAAGATTAATAAACTGATACACCTTTATAAGGCATTTAGCTAGGAATAAAACTTTCAGGACAGGAAATTGCTGTGGGTAAGTCAGTGAATGAGTTGTGAGTAAATGTGAAGGCCTAGGACATGACCATACTGTAGATACTTAAAGCTATACTAACTTTGTAAAAATTTCTTTTTTTTAATAATCAATTAATTTTACCTTACTCTAAATTTTTTATTTTATAAACTTTCAATTTTTTTAACTTTTTGAGTCTTTTATAATAACAATTTAAAACACAAGCACAGTGTACAGCTGTACAAAAATATTTTCTTTTTAATGTCCTTATTCTATAAGCTTTTTTTCCTATAAAATCTAAGACACAAAGACACACATTATCCTAGGGCTACACAAGGTCAGGATCATCAATATCACTGTCTTCTACCTTCATATCTTGCCTCACTGGAAGGTCTTCAGAGGCAACAATATGCACGGAGCTGTCATCTCCCATGATAACAGTGCCTTCTTCTGGAATACCTAATGAAGAACCTGCCTGAGGCTGTTTTATAGTTAACTTTTTAAATAAGTAGAAAGAGTACACTCTAAAATAACAATAAAGACTATGGTGTAGTAAATACATAAACCAATAATTTAGTGGTTTATTATCATTATCAAGTATTATGCACCATACATAATTGTATGTGCTATACTTTTATACTACTGGCTGCGCAGTAGGTTTGTTTACACCAGCATGACCACAAACATGTGACTAATGCATTGCACTAAAATGGCTAAGACATCACTAGACAATAGAAATTTTTCAGCTCCATTATAATCTAATGGACCATTATTGTATATATGATCTGTCATTGACAGAAATATCATTATGTGTTACATGATTGTATATCTACATACATATTATATATATATATATATATATATATATATATGTATGTGTCTGGATAGATGAATAAATAGATAAAGGCTGATATGTAAAGAGTGGAAAACTAGCTGTTGTTCATGAGTGATCAAACTAGCAATAAAAGAATTTCAATCTCAGTTACACAGTCATTTTAAGTTACATTAAGTGATAGAGTCTGCTTCCATTAAGACTTTTAATGCCCTCAACTAAGTAACATTAACTTTTTCATTTCCATTTCCAAAAGGTATACAGTTGATGTTCATATCATAGTTCACATCAAGGATTCATTTGAAATCATAATGGACTTGTAAACTGAGTCTTAATTATGCTTTTTTTTATTTACAATTGAGTCTTAACCTTCATTATAGTAAAAATTTTATTTATATGTTTGTCTTTTTGTGTGTTTTCGTATCCATATTTGTTTACATCGTTGTTGAATTCTAGCACACCGATATGGTTTGGCTGTGTCCCCATCCAAATCTCATCTTGAATTGTAACTCCCACAATTTCCATGTGTCATGGGAGAAACCCAGTGGGAGGTAATTGAATCATGGGGGCGAGTTTTTCCCATACTGTTCTTGTGATAGTGAATAAGTCTCATAAGGTCTGATGGCTTTAAAACAAGAGTTTGCCTACACAACCTCTCTCTTTGCCTGCTGTCATCCAGCATCAATGTAAGATGTGACTTGCTCCTTCTTGCCTTTTGTCATGATTGTGAGGGCTCCCCAAGCCATGTGGAACTGTAAGTTCATTAAACTTTTTTTTTTTTGTTTTTGTAAATTGCCCAGTTTCTGGTATGTCTTTATCAGCAGCATGAAAACAGACTGAAACTACAGCAATTTTTAGTATGCCTTCAATTTGAAAAATGATAAAAGGCAATATTGCCAAGGAGGCCTTTAAAATGCACTGCAAATCTAGGCAATACCATCCAGGACATAGGCATGGGCAAAGATTTTATGATGAAATTGCCAAAAGCAATTGCAATAAAAGTAAAAATTGACAAATTGTATCTAGTTAAACTAAAGAGCTTCTGCACAGCAAAAGAAACTATCATCAGAGCAAACAAGCAACCTACAGAATGGGAGAAAATTTTTGCGATCTACCCATCTGACAAAGGTCTAATATCCAGAATTTACGAGAAACTTAAATTCACAAGAAAAAAACAACCTCATCAAAAAGTGGGCAAAGGACAGGAACAGACACTTCTCAAAAGAAGACATTTATGCGGCCAACAAACACATGAAAAAAAGTTCAACATCACTGATCATTAGAGAAATGCAAATCAAAACCATAATGAGATACCATCGCATCTGTCAGAATGGCAATCATTAAAAAGTCAAGAAAAAACAGATGCTGGTGAGGCTGTAGAGAAATAGGAACACTTTTATACTGTTGGTAGGAATGTAAAATAGTTCAACAATTGTGAAAGACAGTTTGGTGATTCCTCAAGGATCTAGAACCAGAAATACCATTTCACCCAGCAATCCCATTACTGGGTATATATCCAAAAGAAAATAAATCATTCTATTATAAAGATACATGCACATGTATTTTTATTGCAGGACTATTCACAATAGCAAAGACACGAAACCAATCCAAATGCCCATCAGTAATAGACTGGATAAAGAAAATGTGATTCATATACACCATGGAATACTATGCAGCTATAAAAAGGAATAAGATTATGTCTTCTGCAGGGACATGAATGAAGCTGGAAGCCATCATTCTCAGCAAGCTAACACAGGAACAGAAAACCAAACACTGCATGTTCTCACTCATAAGTGGCAGGTGAAAAATGAGAACACATGGACACAGGGAGGGGTACAACACACACTGGGGCCTGTTGGTGGGGGCGAGGGGAGGGAAACCATCAAGATAAATAGCTAATGCATGGGGGGGCCTAATAACTAGGTGCAGCAAACCACTATGGCACACGTTTACCTATGTTACAAACCTGCACGTCCTGCACAATGTATCACCCCAGAACTTAAAGTAAAATAAAATTTTAAACATAAAAAAACTGCAACTTTTCTTAAATGTATTATTTTAAAATGCATGCAAAATATACATATTATATAATAGTTTCTTGCAGGGAAATATTCATATTGAAGTAACAAATAACAATACATACAAGCTTAAAATTTCAATAATCCTACACTTAACAGCAATTAATATACCTGACCATTAGATAATAAAATATGTAGGAAAATACAGGCTATCAAACACAAAATCTCTGAAAGTAGAAGAGAAAATGAATCATCACACTTGTAAGTGAAAAGCAGTAAATAAAATATAATTGTCATATCTGAATTGGACCATGGAACATATAAGTTAATATTTTACAGGATAATTATAGTTAATGTCTGCAAGTTAGTGCTTCTGTACTGTTCATCATAAGTTTAATCATATCTCAGATAAACTACATGGTCATGGAATTACTTCATGGTTGTGTTCCTTTATTTCTAATAATGTGTATAAATATTGCAAGCAAAGCATAATCCAGGAGGAACTTCATAAGATAATGTACTATCTTTCATTATGAACAGGCAGTGTTTCACTCAAACCATTCCGGATATGCTTTTAAGAATATATATGCAAATACTCTTAACTAATTAGTGCATGCCAGTATTTAAAATGCTGCCTCTATTCTACATGCTTCTTACTGTAGTTTCACACAGTTTCTAATGAAAATCAAAAATAGATAATTCATTTATTCCCTAAGTGAGTTTTACCTAGATCCTTTAACATTCTTCCTAAAGATATCACATGAAACTTCAATTTTGCTAATACATACAATTTTCATTTGTCAGATATACCTCAATAAAGGGGGGGAAAATAAAATAACAAGAGCAGTTTGGGACTCTAGTTGCATATTTAAAAAATGGTGAAGTTATGTGGTGAATTTTCGATGGGTAATATATTAAAACACAATAAACTATAAACTACATTATCTCCAATGGGGAAAGATAATTTGCAAACACTTTAATAATTCCCCCCAAATATTAACGCAAAAAAGTTACCCAAAGGCATTTCAAGATATTATGTGGCTTAGTAGTAATAAAGCTGCAGTGCTCAAGGTGATCAGCCCCTCATTCAAATGTCAGAGTTAATATTGAGCATCATTTTCTATGTATGAGGTCTCAAGACTATTACTATGACATATAGTAACCTACTAGGTGATCTGATTACTTCTGACCTTTTAAAAGTTCCAAAGAGCAAAAGTAGTTGAAAAGTGTTTATGCATATATGACACAATACTGGAAATCCATATCTGAACTATAGTCAAGAACATATCTAATGTTCGTAAATTTCTGACAAGGCTTACAGGAAATAGTTTCTTGGATGGTTTGGCATCATGGAAACCTGTCATTTATTGTAGCTGAGCAGTGACAAGAGGTATAAATATGATTAATTTTTTATCAACATGCCATATGAGAATAATTGCAAAACATAGCACATTTTCAAAATTTGGGAACCACTTTCCAAAATAACCATTTATTTGACTCCTGTAAAATTTTGTCAAAAGCTTTAAAATTAGATGTTTTTTTCTAAAAGTGGATTTCTGACATCATTTAATAGCATATTATGAGATAAAGTATATTTTATATACATGTAAATATGTATATATGTATATAAAATACACCTTATATATGTAAATTGTGTACACATATAAAGTTTGGGTATATATTATGTATATAGACACACACACAGACACACATACCCCACCCAAAAGGCATTGGTATTTGATGTATAGAAAATAGAATGGATTTTTCATGATCAATTTAAACATTAAAATTATATTTTATCCATGTGTCAATTGCGAGAAATAACATGTAACCAAAATAAATTTGCAATATATAGTTAATATTTTGATTAATGGATGCTTTGCATTGCAAAATAGTTGGAATTGAAGCAGCTGACTGAAACAATTATGCAATAATAGTTGTCATCATATCTCACATTGGGGTAATGTAAAGAAAGAGCTAAATAACCCAAAATCTTCTTAAGCTGGTAAGCAACTTCAACGAAGTCTCAGGATACAAAATCAATGAGCAAACGTCTTTAGCATTCCTATACAACAAGTCAAGCTGAGAGCCAAATCACGAATGAACTCCCATTCACAATGGCTATATATATATATATGACTATGGATAACAAGGGAGGTAAAATATTTCTACAAGAAGAACTCTATAAACCACTGCTCACAAAAATCAGAGATGACACAAACAAATGGAAAAATATTTCATACTCATGGATAGGAAGAATCAGTATCGTTAAAATAACCATACTACCCAGGGCAATTTATAAATTTGATGCTATTCCCTTTAAACTACCACTGACATTCTTCACAGAACTAGAGAAAACTATTTTGAAATTCATGTGGAATCAAAAAAGAGCCCTAATAGCCAAGGCAATTCTAAGCCAAAAGAACAAAGCTGGGGGCATCATGCTACCCAATTTCAAACTATATTACAGGGCTACAGTAACCAAAACAAGATGGTACTGGTGCAAAAACAGCCACATAGTTGGACTAATGAAACAGAACAGAGAGCCTAAAACTAAGGCCACACACCTACAGCCATGTGATTTTCAAAAGAGCAGACAAAATATGCAATGGCATAAGGATTCCCTACTCAATAAATGTCGCTGGGATAACTAGATAGCCATATGCAGAAAATTGAAGCTGGACCCCTTACGTATATCATATAAAAAATCCCAGATGAATTAAGGACTTAAATGTAAAACCAAGAACTATTAAAACCCTGAAAGAAAACCCAGGCAATAACATTCAGGACATAGACACAGGCAAAGATTTCATGAGAAAGATGCCAACACCAATTGCAACAAAAGCAATAATTGAAAATAAAATATAACTAAGCTTAAGAGCTTCTGCACAGAAAAAAAAAACTATCAACAGAGTGAACAGACAACCTAGAGAATGGGAGAAAATTTTTGCAAACTATGCATCTGACAAAGGTCTACTATACAGCGTCTATAAGGAATTTAAACCAATTTACATGAAACAAACAACCCAATTAAAAAGTGGACAAAATACATAAACAGACACTTTGCACAAGAAGACATACATGTGGCCAAAAATCATATGAAAAAAAAGTTCAACATCACTGATCATTAGAGAAATGCAAACCAAAATCACAATGAAATATCATCTCACACCAGTCAGAATGGCTATTATTAAAAAGCCAACAACAACAACAACAACAAAACAGATGCTGGTGAGGCTGTCCAGAAAAAGCAACACTTATGTTGGTGGGAGTGTAAATTAGTTCAACTATTCTGTAAGACAGTGGGGTGATTCCTCAAAGACTTAAAAACAAAAATACTATTTCACCCAGCAATCCCATTACTGGGTATATGCCCAAAAGAGTATAAATTGTTCTATTATAAAGACACGTGAATGTGTATGTTCATTGCAACACTATTCACAATAGCAAAGACATGGAATCAACATGAACGCCCATTAAAGGTAAAATGGATAAAGAAAATGTGGTACATGTACACCATGGAATACTATGTGGCCACAGAAAATAATGAGATCATGTCCTTTGCAGGGATGTGGATAGAGGTGGAGGCCATGTTCCGTAGCAAACTAACACAGAAACAGAAAACCAAATACGTCATGTTCTCATAAGTGGGAGCTAAATGATGAGAACACATGAACACATAGAGGGGAACAACACACACAGGGGCTTATCCAAGGGTAGAGGGTAGGAGGAGGGAGAGGATGAGAAAAAATTACTAATGGATACTAGGCTTAATACCTGGGCGATGATATAATCTGTAAAAAAAAAAAAAAAAAAAAAAAAAAACCATGAAACACATTTACTTATGTAACAAACCTGCAAATCCTGCATGCACCGGTACCCCTGAACTTAAAATAAAAGTTAAAAAAAAGAAAGGCAAGATAAAAGTAAAAAAAAAAAAAAAAAAAAAAAAAACGAAAAAAAACAGAAAGATGAATATATTTCTAAGTAAGTTTAATTAAATTGAAATACATCACATTTACTATTTTGTCAATCTTTATTAGGTACCTCACCAACATGTCTGTCTGCTAAATTGACAGATCAATTGATTTTCTGAGCATATAGTAGCATAAATGGATTTTAAAAGAAATTGGTTCTCAAGGTTAGCCCAACTGACCATCATGTGTAAGCAAGAGAATAATAATGAAAATTAAGTAAAGGATATTTTATGCAAATCGTATGGTTTGAAAAAAATTAAAATCACTCGGGTCTTGCTGGGTATCTCAAAAGTAGACATCAATGAAAACAGTCAAATTCTGTAAAGTATTTGAAAAGATTTATTCTGAGCCAAATATGAGTGACCATGTCCCATGACACAACCCTCAGGAGGTCCAGAGAATCTTATAGGTGGATTTTAAAATGTTCTGGTTGACAATTGGTTGAGTTTATCTAAAGACCTGGGATCAATAGGAAGGAAATGTTTAGGTTAAGGTAAAGAGTTGTGGATACCAAGTTTTATTGTTCAGAGGAAGCTCTCAGAGAGCTGACTTTAGAAAGAGCACGTTGTAAAATGTTTCTTATCACAGACTGAAAATGGTGCCTGGCTCTTACTGGATTATATCCTGGGTCTTGAAAGAAAGAAGAAAAAGGTTGGGGGAAGCGGATTCTCTATAGAATGTGGATTTTTCTGACAAGAGACAACCTTGCAGGGCAATTTCAAGATATGACAAGGAAATATATTTGGGGTTAAAATATTTGTATTTATTCTCTTATTTTTTATGTGATGTTATGCCAAAGTCAAGTTGGAAAGCATGTCACATTATACAGAGTTAAACAAACCCCCCCGATGAGACTTTATGATTTGTAGAGTGTGACTCCCCAGGCCCCTTAGGTAAGAATTTGGGCAAGATAAAAAATACCAGAGATTAATCCTTATAGAGAAACTCAGAGTTTCTCTTTAAACAAATATCCAAAGTTTCTTCAAGCTTCCTGCAGGATTGCTTTCCCTAGGAACCCCTCCTTTTCAAAGCACACACACACAAACACAGACACACACCCTACATTTGTTTCTTTGTGTATCATTGTTTTACCTCAATAGTTCTACAATCTTTATTCTCTTGAGGCAATGATTCTTTACCGTTTTTAGATTACATGTGCCTTTGAGGTTCAGATAAAATTGATTGAAACGTCCCCAGACAAACATTGTGTTCTTCTCCTGAAAAAAAGGCAATTTACAGAAGTTTCTCCTAGAAGCCTTCACAAAGTTCTGAGATAAAATTTCCTATGAAAGGATAATCCCTTATGGTTTCCAGAAAATCAAAGAGCTTATGCATTAGAGTCCCTATGACCACAGTTGCAGAAAAGGCCGGCACTTACTCTTTGTTTCCTTAATATTTTTTGACTATTCTGAGATTTTAACTCAATTGACTCACTTCTGAGAATGTAGATCAGGGTCTCCACCCTTAACAGGGTCAAGTACTCCACCCTTTAATAAAACACACTGAGTGTGTATATGTGTATGTGTGTGGGTGTGTGTATGTGTGTATGTGTGAATACTGGTTAAGACCATACATTCTATATATATGAGTATGTGTGCAATATCTATAATTAACAATATTTCCAAAGCAGTCCATGTTTGGCATGTAATACTTAAAAAACCTTGATTCTATTTTCATTTTAAACATAAACTTTCAGATTCTCAGAGAAAATACCCACTTTTGTCTGAGAATTAGAAATGTATAGTACATACTCACATATACATGCTGTCATATTTTGAAGGGGTGCATCTGAAATGTCACCATATAAGAAGTTAATCATATGCTCAACTGTAATTCAGATATGCAGAGTGAAGTTTTAGATTATTAGTACTTAAAATAGCAACAGTTACATCATTAATTTCTCTAATTTTATTACCTGGATGTTTTAAAATCTGTACAATTCTTAGATCTCTCCTTTGAGAGAACACAGGAATGGCCAAAATTAACAAAAAGATAATGAAGTAGGGAAATATAATAGCATGAGTAGAATCCCAATTTAGAGACAGTAAGATTCATATACATTTCATATGCTCTGCTAATCAGTTTTATTTTTTCCTCCCATGAATAGAAAAAAAAAAAACAACTAAAGAAGAAAATAGCAAACACCAGAGTTCTCAATCTTGTCTGGGTCCATAGCAGACAGAATCACAAAGTAAATGCACTTGTGGGAATTGTGAGGCTATTAATAAAAGATTCAGTGATACCACAACTCTAAAGATTATTTTCTTTCTCCAAAAAGCAAAGATATCACAGAAAAGTGTTCATGTCTATATATCTAAATAGCTCTGAGAAGTAAAGAACACCAAACATTTTTGAAGATACTGTTATCATTATATATAACCACTAATTCCTTTCCATTTGCTACTTTTAGTGAAAAATGTTCTTCAGAGAGGGACTATAATAATGATAGTTAGTTTTATAGATATTTTCTTCAATAAATAGGAAACTTGAACTATTTAAAATATTAATGTACAGTGAATGGATATTAATACTTAGTCATTCATCATTTTTATGGAATTGAAAGACAAAGGTTGGTGGATTAAATAAATATCCTGACCACTGCAGAATCTTCAGATAATTTCATTAAAAACTTGGAAAGGTACATGGGATTTCCTTTACTATCTTGTCAAAATCCATTTGTGTTGTTATTAAAAAATACCTGTGCAGGAAATGCAAGATGGCCAGCTAGATACAGCCAGGTGGAACAGCTCTTACCAAGAGACAGAGACCACTGGTATGCTCCTAACAAATCTTCAAAGGGAAGGCACTGAGATTGGACAGAGGAAAGACACAGAAGCTTGGCTGAAAGTAGAGAAAGCTGAGAACCCTGCATGGGTCTACCAGACACCAGGAATCATTCCTGGCCCTCAACAGCTCCTGGGGAATGGGTGAGTTGATCTGGCAGGGAGCAAATTGCCGTTGCCACAGGCATCTGGAGCCCAATCAAGGGATGACTCCTTGACCACCACAGACATACAGGTTGGCAAGGAGAGCTGCTTAGAGAAGTGGTAGGGGCAGCAAGCCAGCTGATGTGGAGCCCAGAGGGTTTGGTGCTGGAACATCGATAGCAGAGCATGGCCAGATACAGCCATCCCCCTAGGCTCAACTTGCTGCCATAGGAGACTTTAGCTCTAGGGGAACTGTCAGACCTGAATTCTGCACAGTGGTCTTGCCCATCAGATGGGGCCAGTCTGACCTGGGTACCCATTGATCTCCTGGCCTCTCCCAGGACCCCAACCTGGCCATGCCTGCATGCAGGGTAGTTGCAGTTGCCCTGGTTGTCTGCACCATAGCTTCTACATTGGTGGATTGTGGCTGACCAGTAAAGAGCTCCAGTGGGGCAGCCCCTATGGCCACACACCAGCCTGCACTCTCCCACCCCATACTGCAGCTTCCCCCAGGCCCCCATATAGCACCAACATCGCTTTGCTGGAATGTAATGGCAGGGGTGGGTTTTGGTTTTCTTGCCTCACAAACGTGCAGAAGTGCAGTCTATCCCCTCCCCGCCATCGACCACCATTGTGAATGGAGCCTTGGTGGGCACAGAGCTAGCCAGTCCTGCCCCGTACCAGCACACCACCCTTACACTAACTGCATAGAGACAGCAGATCTCCTCCCTCACCTGCCCTGAGTGTCCACTCCTGCTTGCAGGGCAGAAAAGGCATTCAGACCTGCACCTGCCAGTGCCTTGCCCCTGAGCCAACACCATCGCCAGCATGACCATGCACACAGTAACCAGCAGAGTTCCCCACCTGGCCCCCAAGCTTCCTTGCATCCACCACTGTGGTGAATGCTGGCAGGGAGACAGGCAGCCCAGCATGCACTAGCACTCTGCTGCAGCTGCCGCTACAAGGACAGATCTCACTGTCACCACACTACAAAATGCTTTGGCTTACATTATCCATGGGAGTGTAGTAACCAGTGGTATGGGAGTGCCATGGCCTCCCCAGTGCAGTGAATTCCTAACATTGAGGAGCCAGAGAACAAAGTCAGGGCCCAATACAAGTTTCCCAGAGTTAAAGCATGCAGCCCAGGCATTGGGAGCTGAACATTGGCCCCATAAAATCTTCCAGAAATAAACCTATTTAGCTGAATCTATCTTATACCATGATCAAACACTCAAGGTCATTAAATAGCATTAAAAAATCCAAAGGCCAGCAGCCTCAAAGATTGAAGGCAGATAAGTCCACAAGATGAGAAAGAATCAGCACAAGATCTCTGACAATTCAAAAACCCAGCGTCCATTCTTTCCTTCAAATGACCACATCATCTTTCTGTCAAAGGTTCTGAACAGGGCTGATATGGCAGAGATGACAAATAGAATTCAGAATGTGGATAGGAATGAAGATCACTGAGCTATAGGAGTATGTTGAAACCCAATCAAAGGAGGCTAAAATTCATGATAAAACAATGCAGGAGCTGACAGAAAAAAAAAGCTAGTAGAGAAAAATGTAACCAATCTGACAGAGCTGAAAAACACATTACAAGAATTTTATAATACAATCACAAATATTAATAGCCAAATAGACTAAGCAGAGGAAAGAATCTCAGAAATTAAAGACTGGCTTTTGGAAATAAGACAGTCAGACAAGAATAGAGAGAAAAGAATAAAAAGGAATGAAGTAAACCTCCAAGAAATATGGGATTACATAGACAGACCAAATCTATGGCTCACTGGTGTCCCTGAAAAAGATGGGGAAATATGTTTGCCAACTTGGAAAATATATTTTACAATATCATCCAGGAGAACTTTCCCAACCTAGTTAGAGAGGCCAATATTCAAATCCAGGAAATGCAGAGAACCCCAGTAACATAATCCTCAAGAATTATTCTCAAGAAGACTACCCCTAAGACATAGAATCATTAGATTCTCTAAGGTCCAAATGAAAGACAAAATGTCAAAGGCAGCTAGAGACAAAGGTCAGGTCACCTACAAAAGGAAGCCCATCAGACTAACAGTAGACCTCTCACCAGAAATCTTACAAGCCAGAAAAAAATGGGTGCCAATATTTAATATTCTTTTTTTTTTTCAAAAAAAAATCTGACCCAGAAATTCATATATGGCCAAACAAAGCTTCATAGGTAAAGGAGAAATAACATCCTTTTAAGGCAAGCAAATGGTGAGGAAATTTGTAACCACCAGGCAGGCCTTACAAGAGCTTTTGAAGGAAACACTAAATATAGAAAGTAAAGACTGTTTCCAGCCACTAGAGAAACACACTTATGTACACAGACCAGTGACGCTATAAAGCAATCACATAAACAGGTTGGCAAAATAACCAGCTAACATCATGATGACAGGATGAAATCCACACATATTAATAGTAACCTTGAATGTAAATGACCTAAATTTCCCAATTAACAACAAAAAAAGCAGAGTGGCAAGCTGAATAAAAAAACAAGACCCATTGGTATGCTGTCTTCAAGAGACACATCTCACACACAATAACACACATAGGCTCAAAATAAAGGGGTGGAGAAAAATCTACAAAAGAAATGAAAAGCAAACAAAAAATACCAGGGCTTTCAATAATATTTTCAGATGAAATAGACTTTAAGCCAACACAGATTAATAAAAATGACAAAGAAGAACATCACAAAATGGTAACAGGTTCAATTCAACAAGAAGATCTAACTATCCTAAATATATAGGCACCCAACAAAGGAACACCAATATTTATAAAGCAAGTTATTAGAGACCTTCAAGGAGACTTAGACTCCCATACTATAATAGTGAGAGACTTTAAAACCCCACTGATAATATTAGACAGATCGAGACAGAAAATTAACAAAGATATTCAAGACCTGAACCCAGCACTTAATCAAATGGACCTGATAGATATCTACAGAA